>NC_000006.12:62307351-62610382 GCF_000001405.40 Homo sapiens
AATTGGAATGAGTACACCATTTACATATTTTTAAAACGTATTGATATGTAAGACTTGTACATATTTTGCAGCTACATGTGATATTTCGCTACATGTATAAAATGTGTTACAGTCAAATCAGGGTAATTGGGATCACCAGCTATATTTGGATTTAAATCTACCTTGTTGAACTATCAACTTTTCTATTCGTCCATGTTCTTTTTTTCCCTATTTCCTGCTATTTAATAAAATAATTTGTTAGGTAAGTCTGAAGCATTTTTAAGTCTAGGACTGCTTTTTATCCACTATTTGAGTAAGCCTTCCTGAATATTCTACCTAATATTCTGTAAATTGTGAGTTTTTCTCAGGCTGGTTGGTTGGAACAGGTACTATTCCTGGCTTTCTTGAGTGTTGGGCACTGTTTCCTTTAATCCTTCCAGATGGTTCTTTCTCCCAGCTCTGGATATTTTCCTCACACTCATTAGCTCATCAGCTTTTTCTTAAATAATTGATGGGGACCTTCTGTAGATGTCTGGAATTCTCTCTGTATGCAGCTCTCTTTGTGAACAGTAACTTCCTTGGTATCTCTGTACTGTCACCTCTATCTCCGTATGGGTGCTCCTTATTGTATCTTGGCTTAAAATTTTTCTCGTGACATTCAAAGACATATAGTAATCATAGAGCTTATCTTTTTTTGTTTTCTATTTGTCCAGATTCATTGTCCATTATTAACTTATATCCACTATTTTTTATTGTTTCAGGCAAGAGAGGACATTCAGTACCTGTTTCTTCATCTAGATGGAAAGCTGAAGTCTACAAATGCATTTTAGAATAAAAACTGAACATATTTATTTTAGTCAGTCTCAACAGGAAGTAGATGGCAAAATCAAATGTGAAAAATGTGAAGACTGTTTATATCCAGGGTGGGGGGGAGATATTTACAGAGGTTTAGTGGTTTATAGGGGAAACCAAAAGAAACAGTATAAAACTCCCAGGTTTTTTTTGTTTGTTTGTTTTTGTTTTTGTTTTTTAGCAGAGCTGTTATTAACCGTAGTCTTTTGGGGTGTAGGACCAAAAGTCCTTAATAAAACTCTAAAAAAGAGGGTCAAGGGAGCTCCCTCTAAAGAATTCACAAGCTGAGGTGACTCTGAGGAGGGGGCCAGGCAACAACACTCACCTTACTTGGTTCCTTCTCTATTTTCTTTTACCTATAAGCTAAATCCAAACCAGAAGCCAAAGGACAAGAAGACACCTGCAATAGTTGATAGAGGCCACCTTTCTAGAGCACAGAGCAGGGGGATTTGCAAAGAAAATGGAAGATATCCAACATAATAAGCTCCTCGGCATTCCTCTACCCTCTCAGTTGCACAAACCAGTGACCTGGTAGTATTTGATTCCTTCTTGTTCCTCACCTCCCCACATTCAACTGGCCAACAATTCTGTAGGCTCTACTTCTTAATATGTTACATATTTATCACTTCTTCTCCAACTGTAGTCCTGCCACTGTCTGCTTTTATGTCATTACCATTGTTCCATATACTTTGCTATAACTTCTTAAATGCTTTCTTGGCCTCCCAGGTTTACTCCATCCTCTTCAGTTCATACATTGTTTAAAGATAGTGTGATTTTTTAAAAATTCCATTCTGATCACACTATTTCCCACCTTTGTGTTTTTGAATTGTTCAAAAACTTCTTAACGTGGACTTCAGGACTATCTATTTTCTGGCTTCTACCATTGTTACAACCTTAAAAAAGAGGCAGTCATAAAATACGACCTACACAGCTGGCTGTTTTCAATAAATACCTCTTGATACCTTCTGATTCCCTAGTGTTCAAATGTCATCAATCTTCGTATTGTTAATTCTAGGTTAACTTTTCTACACATCATTGTACTAGCTTACTACATCAACCAAGTAATGCCTCTTTAATGCTCATTAAACTAAGAATTACTTCTGTTAATCTTTATATGATTTCTCTTAAAAGAATCGCTTGAACCCGGGAGGTGGAGGTTGCAGTGAGGTGAGACCACGCCACTGCACTCCAGCCTGGGCAACAAGAATGAAACTTGAGCTAAGGACATGCATAGACAATTCTCAAAAGAAGATACACAAGTGGCCAACAAACATATAAAAAGTGCTCAACATCACTAATGATCAGGGAAATGCAAATCAATACCACAATGCAATACTACTTTACTCCTGTAAGAATGGCCATAATAAAAAAATAATAAAAAATTAAAAAACAGTAGATGTTGGCATGGATGTGGCAATCAGGGAACACTTCTACACTGCTGCTGGGAATGTAAACTACTAGAGCCACTATGGAAAACAGTGTGGAGATTCCTTAAAGAACTAAAAGTAGAACTACCATTTGATCCAGGAATCCCACTACTGGGTATCTACCCAGAGGAAAAGAGGTAATTATTTGAAAAAGATTGTTGCATACCCATGTTTATAGTAGCACAATTCACAACCGCAAAATCATGGAACCAACCCACATGCCCATCAATCAATGAGTGGATGAAGAAACTGTGATATATATATATGAAGGAATTTATATATATATATATGATGGAATATATACATATGATGGAATATATATATATGATGGAATATATACATATGATGGAATATATATATGATGGAATACATATATATGATGGAATATATAAACCAAATGTCGTATGTTCTCACTGACATGTGGGAGCTAAGCTATGAGGATGCAAAGGGATAAGAATAATACAATGGATTTTGGGGACTTGGGGGGAAGAGTGGGAGGGGTGAAGGATAAAAGACAACCAATATGGTGCAGTGTATACTGCTCAGGTGATGGGTGCTCCAGGATCTCACAAATCACCACTAAAGAACTTATTCATGTAATCAAATACCACCTGTACCTCAATAACTTATAGAAAAAAAGAACAGAGTAGAAAACGGGTGATGTTTTGCTTATTTACTTGTTTGCTCTCTCTCTTTTTCCATTCCAAATAAATTCCATGATGACAAGTTCTTATGACAATGTTTTTAAATTCTATCCCTATGCCTGGAGTAGAAAAACAATAATTATAAAACTTGGCATTTATTCAGAAAGCCCAGATTCTTGTCACCCTTTTCCATTCTATTTCCCTTTTAACTGACATCTAACCCCTCACAACTCTGCTCTCATCTTTTCATTACTTTTTTCAAAAGTTTAATCATTTCTAGAATGTCTGGGTATTCACATAATTCCACCACTTATTAGCTTGTGACCTGTGGCAAATTCCTCTTTGTACCTCAGTTTCCTGATCGGTAAAATAGGAATAACTACTACCTAAGGGTGTTGTTATGAGGAATAAATGAGTAAGTATATTAAATATTTAGATCAGTGTTTGGACTATTGGAAGCAATCCACAAGAGTTACTTGTTATTATAATGAAATCAAATCTAAGTTTTTATTCTGTCCCTTCTCCTTTCTAAGGCCAGTCAGTCCATCTGATTAGCGTTATATTTCCCCATTAATTTTCACCTCATCTGGTACCTTGCTCTCAATTATTTTATTCTTCTGGATCTTCTACTTCTCTCTTTGCACTGGCTCTCTTTCATCAGCATTTAAACATCTGAATATTTCTTCAGCTGGAAACATGCTTCCCCTTGATCTCAATATGACTTATGCCCTCACTTCATTTAAGTCTTTGCTTGAAAGTCACTTCATCAGAGAAGCTGTCACTGATCACTTCACTGAAAATTGCACCATCTCTCCCTACGTCCTTTTCTACTTTCTTACTTTATTTTTCTCCATGGCATTTATGACCATCTCACATTTTGCCTACTTGTTTATTCTGTCTCGTCTTCCACTCTGACTAAATTCCATGAAGGCAAGTCCATATGCCATTCTGTTACATTCACCACAGTATTCCAGTATCTGATATGTAGTAGAAATTCAATGAATATTGATTAAATTAAGGAATGTAAGAAAAAAATTAACAAACTTATCCATAGAAGGCCCAAATGCTCCAGCTACTAACATCATTTGCTTCACAGAGCAGCATCTACAAAGAATTCTCTGTTCTGATCTCTTTTTATTTCCCATTCATTTCTCATTCCTCAGGAAGTTGACCTCCATTCCCTCTATTTCACTTAAGTGGCTCTTGGAAATTAAGTTTATATGTTGCATCTTACTAATGTTATAGAAACATCTATGAATTTTTTTTCTGTTAACTTCAACTTTAAACAAAGCAGGCTCATTGTTTTTAAGAAATTAAGTTCTAAAGTATCAAAAAGTTTTCTAAATAAAGCAGATATCATATAAAATAACTAGTACTGTATTTCAGACATTAACAGTAAATAGAATTTGATGCTTAGATAGCTTTGATGCTTAGATCCCACCTTGGGTAGGATAGGGAATGACAGTGTGAGAGGAACAAAACAGTAGAAAACGTCAATGTACAGGTAAGACATAGGTTTATTGGAGAAAAAAATTCCAGATAATATTCAGCATCAAAGGATCTGGCAATAGGCAATAGGCATAGATCCAGGTAGTTAGCATAAGAACAGGCTGCCTATTATGGAGTGAATGGTGTCTTCCCAAATTCATAGGTTGAATCTCTATCCACTAGTACCTCAGAATGTGACTCTATTTGGAGATAGGGCCTTTAAAGTGGTGATTAAGTTAAAATGAAGCTGTCCAGGGCAGGTCTTAATCCAATATGACTGACATCCTTATAAGAAGATTGGTGGAGCCAAGATGGCCGAATAGGAACAGCTCCAGTCTACAGCTCCCAGCGTGAGCGACGCAGAAGACCGGGTGATTTCTGCATTTCCAACTGAGGTTCCGGGTTCATCTCACTGGGGAGTGCCAGACAGTGGGTGCAGGAAAGTGGGTGCAGCGCACCGTGTGTGAGCAGAAGTAGGGCAAGGCATCGCCTCACTCAGCAAGCGCGAGGTGTCAGGGAATTCCCTTTCCTAGTCAAAGAAAGGGGTGACAGACGGCACGTGGAAAATCGGGTCACTCCCACCCTAATACTGCACTTTTCCAATGGGCTTACCAAACGGCACACAAGGAGATTATATCCGGCACATGGCTCGGAGGATACTATGCCCATGGAGCCTCACTAGCACAGCAGTCTGAGATCAAACTGCAAGGTGGCAGCAAGGCTTGGGGAGGGGCACCTGCCAGTGCCCAGGCTTGAGTAGGTAAACAAAGCAGCCAGGAAGCTTGAACTGGGTGGAGCCCACCACAGCTCAAGGAGGCCTGCCTGCCTCTGTAGGCTCCACCTCTGGGGGCAGGGCACAGACAAACAAAAGGCAGCAGTAACCTCTGCAGACTTAAATGTCCCTCTCTGACAGCTTTGAAGAGAGTAGTGGTTCTCCCAGCATGCAGCTTGAGATCTGAGAATGGGCAGACTGCCTCCTCAAGTGGGTCCCTGACCCCCAAGTAGCCTAACTGGGAGGCATCCCCCAGTGGGGGCGGTCTGACACCTCACATGGCCGGGTACTCCTCTGAGACAAGACTTCCAGAGGAACAATCAGGCAGCAGCATTTGCAGTTCACCAATATATGCTGTTCTGTAGCCACCGCTGCTGATACCCAGGCAAACAGGGTCTGGAGTGGACCTTCAGCAAACTCCAACAGACCTGCAGCTGAGGGTCCTGACTGTCAGAAGGAAAACTAACAAACAGAAAGGACATCCACACCAAAAACCCATCTGTACATCACCATCATCAAAGACCAAAGGTAGATAAAATCACAAGGGTAGATAAAATCACAATCTACCTTCCCCAAAGGTAGATAAAATCTAGGGAAAAAAACAGAGCAGAAAAACTGGAAACTAAAAATCAGAGTGCCTCTCCTCCTCCAAAGGAACACAGCTCCTCACCAGCAATGGAACAAAGCTGGACGGAGAATGACTTTGACGAGTCGAGAGAAGAAGGATTCAGAAGATCAAACTACTCTGAGCTAAAGGAGGAAGTTCAAACCAATGCAAAGAAGTTAAAAACCTTGAAAAAAAATTAGATGAATGGCTAGCTAGAATAACAAATGCAGAGAAGTCTTTAAAGGACCTGATGGAGCTGAAAACCACAGCACAAGAACTATGTGATGAATGCACAAGCCTCAGTAGCCAATGCAATCAACTGGAAGAAAGGGTATCAATGATGGAAGACGAAATGAATGAAATGAAGTGAGAAGTTTAGAGAAAAAAGAATAAAAAGAAATGAACAAAGCCTCCAAGAAATATGGGACTATGTGAAAACTCCAAATCTACGTCTGATTGGTGTACCTGAAAGTGATGGGAGAATGGAACCAAGTTGAAAAACACTCTGCAGGATATTATCTAGGAGAACTTCCCCAATCTACCAAGGCAGGCCAACATTAAAATTCAGGAAATACAGAGAACGCCACAGAGATACTCCTCGAGAAGAGCAACTCCAAGACACATAATTGTCGATTAGGAAAAAATGCTAAGGGCAACCATAGAGAAAGGTTGGGTTACCAACAAAGGGAAGCCCATCAGACTAACAGTGGATCTCTTGGCAGAAACTGTACAAGCCAGAAGAGAGTGGGGGCCAATATTCAACATTCTTAAAGAAAAGAATTTTCAACCCAGAATTTCATATCCAGCCAAACTAAGCTTCATAAGTGAAGGAGAAATAAAATCCTTTACAGACAAGCAAATGCTGAGAGATTCTGTCACCACCAGGCCTGCCCTAAAAGAGCTCCTGAAGGAAGCACTAAACATGGAAAGGAACAACTGGTACCAGCCTCTGCAAAAACGTGCCAAATTGTAAAGACCATCAAGGCTAGGAAGAAAGTGCATCAACTAATGAGCAAAATAACCAACAAACATCATAATGACAGGATCAAATTCACACATAACAATATTAACCTTAAATGTAAACGGGCTAAATGCTCCAATTAAAAGATACAGACTGGCAAACTGGATAAAGAGTCAAGACCCATCAGTGTGCTGTATTCAGGAAACCCATCTCATGTGCAGAGACACACATAGGCTCAAAATAAAGGGATGGAGGAAGATCTACCAAGCAAATGGAAAACAAAAAAGGCAGGGGTTGCAATCCTAGTCTCAGATAAAATGGATGTTAAACCAACAAAGATCAAAAGAGACAAAGAAGGCCATTACATAATGGTAAAGGGATCAATTCCACAAGAAGAGCTAACTATCCTAAATATATATGCACCCAATACAGGAGCACCCAGATTCATAAAGCAAGTCCTTAGTGACCTACAAAGAGACTTAGACTCCCACACAATAATAATGGGAGACTTTAACACCCCACTGTCAACATTAGACAGATCAACGAGACAGAAAGTTAACAAGGATATCCAGGAACTGAACTCAGCTCTGCACCAAGCGGACCTAATAGACATCTACAGAACTCTCCACCCCAAATCAACAGAATATACATTCATTTCAGCACCACACCACACCTATTCCAAAATTGACCACATAGTTGGAAGTGAAGCACTCCTCAGCAAACGTAAAAGAACAGAAATTATAACAAACTGTCTCTCAGACCACAGTGCAATCAAACTAGAACTCTGGATTAAGAAACTCACTCAAAACTGCTCAACTACATGGAAACTGAACAACCTGCTCCTGAATGACTACTGGGTACACAACAAAATGAAGGCAGAAATAAAGATGTTTTTTGAAACCAATGAGAACAAAGACACAACATACCGGCATCTCTGGGACACATTCAAAGCAGTGTGTAGAGGGAAATTTATAGCACTGAATGCCCACAAGAGAAACTCGCAGGAAAGATCTAAAACTGACAACCTAACATCACAATTAAAAGAACTAGAGAAGCAAGAGCAAACACATTCAAAAGCTAGCAGAAGGCAAGAAATAACTAAGATCAGAGCAGAACTGAAGGAAATAGAGACACAAAAAACCCTTCAAAAAAATCAAGGTATCCAGGAGCCGCTTTTTTGAAAAGATCAACAAAATTGATAGAACGCTAGCAAGACTAATAAAGAAGAAAAGAGAGACGAATCAAATAGACGCAATAAAAAATGTTAAAGGGGATATCACCACCGATCCCACAGAAATACAAACCACCATCAGAGAATACTATAAACACCTCTACGCAAATAAACTAGAAAATCTAGAAGAAATGGATAAATTCTTCGACACATACACCCTCCAAAGACTAAACCAGGAAGAAGTTGAATCTCTGAATAGACCAATAACAGGCTCTGAAATTGAGGCAATAATTAATAGCTTACCAACCAAAAAGAGTCCAGGACCAGAAGGATTCACAGCCGAATTTTACCAGAGGTGCAAGGAGGAGCTGGTAGCATTCCTTCTGAAACTATTCCAATCAATAGAAAAAGAGGGAATCCTCCCTAACTCATTTTATGAGGCCAGCAACATCCTGATACCAAAGCCTGGCAGGGACACAACAAAAAAAGAGAATTTTAGACCAATATATTTGATGAACATTGATGCAAAAATCCTCAATAAAATACTGGCAAACCGAATCAAGCAGCACATCAAAAAGGTTATCCACCATAATCAAGTGGGCTTCATCCCTGGGATTCAAGGCTGGTTCAACACACGCAAATCAATAAATGTAATCCAGCATATAAACAGAACCAAAGACAAAAACTACATGATTATCTCAATAAATGCAGAAAAGGCCTTTGACAAAATTCAACAACTCTTCATGCTAAAAACTCTCAATAAATTAGGCATTGCTGGGACATTTCTCAAAATAATAAGAGCTATCTATGACAAACCCACAGCCAATATCATACCGAATGGACAAAAACTGGAAGCATTCCTTTTGAAAACTGGCACAAGACAGGGATGCCCTCTCTAACCACTGCTATTCAACATAGTGTTGGAAGTTCTGGCCAGGACAATCAGGCAGGAGAAGGAAATAAAGGGCATTCAATTAGGAAAAGAGGAAGTCAAATTGTCCCTGTTTGCAGATGACATGATTGTATATCTAGAAAACCCCGTCATCTCAGCCCAAAATCTCCTTAACCTGATAAGCAACTTCAGCAAAGTCTCAGGATACAAAATCAATGTGCAAAAATCGCAAGCATTCTTATATACCAATAACAGACAAACAGAGAGCCAAATCATGAGTGAACTCCCATTCACAATTGCTTCAAAGAGAATAAAATACCTAGGAATCCAACTTACAAGGGATGTGAAGGACCTCTTCAAGGAGAACTACAAACCACTGGTCAATGAAATAAAAGAGGATACAAACAAATGGAAGAACATTCCATGCTCATGCGTAGGAAGAATTGATATCGTGAAAATGGCCATACTGCCCAAGGTAATTTATAGATTCAATGCCATCCCCATCAAGTTACCAATGACTTTCTTCACAGAATTAGAAAAAACTACTTTAAAGTTCATATGGAACCAAAAAAGAGCCCGCATTGCCAAGTCAATCCTAAGACAAAAGAGCAAAGCTGGAGGCATCACACTACCTGACTTCAAACTATACTACAAGGCTACAGTAACCAAATCAGCATGGTACTGGTACCAAAACAGAGATATAGATCAATGGAACAGAACAGAGCCCTCAGAAATAATGCCGCATATCTACCACTATCTGATCTTTGACAAACCTGACAAAAACAAGCAATGGGGGAAATGATTCCCTATTTAATAAATGGTGCTGAGAAAACTGGCTAGCCATATGTAGAAAGCTGAAACTGGATCCCTTCCTTACACCTTATACAAAAATTAATTCAAGATGGATTAAAGACTTACATGTTAGATGTAAAACCATAAAAACCCTAGAAGAAAACCTAGGCAGTGCCATTCAGGACATAGGCATGGGCAAGGACTTCATGTCTAAAACACCAAAAGCAATGGCAACAAAAGCCAAAATTGACAAATGGGATCTAATTAAACTAAAGAGCTTCTGCACAGCAAAAGAAATTACCATCAGAGTGAACAGGCAATCTACAGAATGGGGGAAAATTTTTGCAACCTACTCATCTGACAAATGGCTAATATCCAGAATCTACAATGAACTCAAAACAAATTTACAAGAAAAAAACAAACAACTCCATCAAAAAGTGGGCGAAGGATATGAACAGACACTTCTCAAAAGAAGACATTTGTGCAGCCAAAAAACACATGAAAAAATGCTCATCATCACTGGCCATCAGAGAAATGCAAATCAAAACCACAATGAGATACCATCTCACACCAGTTAGAATGGTGATCATTAAAAAGTCAGGAAACAACAGGTACTGGAGAGGATGTGGAGAAATAGGAACACTTTTACACTGTTGGTGGGACTGTAAACTAGTTCAAGCATTGTGGAAGTCAGTGTGGCGATGCCTCAGGGATCTAGAACTAGAAATACCATTTGACCCAGCCAGCCCATTACTGGGTATGTACCCAAAGGATTATAAATCATGCTGTTATAAAGACACATGCCCACGTATGTGTATTGCGGCACTATTCACAATAGCAAAGTCTTGGAACCAACCCAAATGTCCAACAATGATAGACTGGATTAAGAAAATGTGGCACATATACACCATGGAATACTATGCAGCCATAAAAAATGATGAGTTCATGTCCTTTGTAGGGACATGGATGAAGCTGGAAACCATCATTCTCAGCAAACTATCACAAGGACAAAAAACCAAACACCGCATGTTCTCACTCATAGGTGGGAATTGAACAATGAGAACACATGGACACAGGAAGGGGAACATCACACACCGGGGACTGTTGTGGGGTGGAGGGAGGGGGGAGGGATACCATTAGGAGATATACCTAATGCTAAATGACGAGGTAATGGGTGCAGCACACCAACATGGCACATGTATACGTATGTAACAAACCAACACATGTACCCTAAAACTTAAAGTATAATAACAATAAAATTTAAAAAAACACTAAAAACATAAAAAATAAATAAATAAATAAAAAGAAGATTAATTTTAAACACACGAAGGAACACCAGGGGCATGTATGCACAGAGAAATGGCCATGTGAGGACACAGCAGGAAGATGGCTACCTGCAAGCCAAGGAGAGAAATCTCTGAAGAAGCCAAATCTGCCAACACTTTCCCCTTGGACTTCCAGACTCCAGAACTATGAGAACATAAATTTCTGTTGCTTAAGCCACTCAGTCTCTGGTATTTTGTTAGGGGAGCCCTAGAAAACTAATGCACTGCCTTGGTACTTCGTATGGAACAGAGGGTTAGGAATCCTTGTAGGTGCTAAAATAGATGAGCTTGACACAAGCCCTGAGAAAAACAGAGAAACACTTCTATTAATTGCTATAACAGGTCTGCTGGTATTGGAACCCTTCCATGTTAAATAATTATTCAAGCTACATATTTTATAGTGTATAATAACTGTTTAAAATAGTTATACAATGACAAATATAGGGTTATAAGCCTTGACAGAAAGGAGGAAACCAAGTTAAGCAGGTTTCTTTGTGAGAACTTTTTCAAATGCAACTAACATGCGAATATTAAGTCATCAATATTTCTTAGTTACATCATCTCAAATATAGTTCTTCTTTTATCTACTCTCAGCCTTATAGAGTTTATTTTCCACACAATAAATAGGGTTAAAAAACAAAATCGAACACCTTTAGTGGCATCCCATCACCTTTAAACAAATTTAAATTCTTTGCATGGCTATAAGACCATATAAGAATTTGCTTTCACAAATATCTGCAACCTCTTTCCCTTGTCCCAGCTACATAGGCCTATGTTCTCCTCCTTAAATAAAGCAAATTTGTTATCTCCTTGGGCATTTTCTTAGTGTTTTCTGCATGAAAGACCCTGTTCCATAACTTGTTTCTTTGCCATTATATCCCAGTCAAAGATATTACACAGTTAGGCATTTTTAGTCTACCTGATCTCAATTAGCCCCCCTTCCCAGAAATAACCTAAAACTATCTGAAATTTTTAATTTTAAAAAATTTTATTTTTGTCTTTTACTACATTTGAAAAAAAAAAGTTTGTCTTACAATCGTACACCTATAGGCTAGATTGCAAAAGCTGAGCACTCAGAAGTGTAAAATTTCAAGTTAAAGAAAAGAACAAGAAGAAAGAAGAGGCAGATGGGGCAACATAGAAGTAAGGGGATGGCATGAAAATGATTTAACCAAAAAGGAAAAGTTTTGGCAGGATTTTGCTTGATATTGCACCCTTGCCTGCATCACCTTTTTTATTCTGCTTCCACCATTCACTTAGTGTTTAATAACTTGCACATTAATTCTTGTTAATGTACTGCTCCTGAATAGCTTAACCTAAGATAAATCCTAATATTTAATCCAGTTTTATTTATCATTTAAAAGGAAAAGAGAAAATCAAAACCAATTGCTAAGTTAAATATTTAATAATGTCTATGTGTTCTTGCATAAATACTGTCAGAGTAAAATCTGGGAACCTCATAATTTTCTGAGCAAATCAGACTTGGAGAGATGAGTCTCAAATATGCTAGGATTGGAGAGGTACTGGGATTCTAAGCCAGTGTTGGATAGAGAGGCAAGGCTATGAAATGATTTGGTGGTCAAAAAAAGAAAAATGTTTGTCTTGCAATTGTATCCCCTATAAGCTAGATTGCAAAATCTGAATGCTCAAAAATGTAAAGTTAAAGAGAAGGATAAGGAATAATAAGAGGCAGATTGGGAGATACAGAAGTAAGAGGATGGAATAGAAATGATTTAACACAAAAGGAAAAGGCTTGGCAGGATTTTGCTTAAAATTGCACCCTTGCCTGCCTCACCTTTTTTATTCTGCTTCCACCATTCACTTAGTATTTAATAACTTCCACATTAATTCTCGTTAAGGTGCTGCTTCTGAGTAGCTTAACCTAAGATAAATCCTAATATTTAATCCAGTTATATCCAATTAGAGCCATGATAAAGAAGAGAACAAGAGCTTAGAGCCTGAGAGATCATTTCAAATATAGATGACCATTTACAGATGTATATTTGCTGATGATAAGACTTTAATAGCACCCTCTGAATGGTATTTGTTATATGCTTGGGTGAGCATTATTTAGGAAAACAGATAACCATGTAATACAGAAAAATGATTTTTTAAAAAGTAAGGTAAAACAAATATTTATAGTGTTATGAAAATAAAATAAAGCAAACAAGGGAAACCATATTAAGGTGGAAATTGTCATCATTAATTTAGCTGATATTCTGGAAAAATTATAACATTTTAATCGATTTGAAGTTATCTCCTTAGTCAAATATATTTAGTTTTATTAAAATTAGCTGCAGTTGAATATTAATGTATGACTTTTTAAAGAAAAGGTATCACTTTATTCATTACTTTCTCCTCTCATCTGTTCTATATTTAATTAATATATGTAGAGTATAGGCATATATTATGTTCAATTAAACATATAAATTATATATTTAATTAATATATATCTATAATACACATGCCTTAACTCTATAAAATATTGCTCTTTTTTAGAATTAAGAACTATGTTGTGCCAAAATTGACTGTGTATATACATATATATCCACATGCACACAAGATTATGTGCTAAAATTTATATTCAAACATCACATTTCATTAGAAAAATGCAAATTAAAACAGCAATAAGATATCACTACACAACTATTACAATGGGGAAAATCTAAGGTACTGACAACATCAAATGCTAGCAAGGATGTGGAGTGATGGGAACTCCCATCCATTGTTGGTGGAATGCAAAATAACACAGCTGCTTTAGAAGACAGTTTCTTAAAGCCTAAACATTGTCTTACCACACGATCCAGCAATTGTTCTCTTTGGTATTTATCCAAATGATTTGAATGACTTATGTCTACACAAAAACCTGCATATGGAGTTTTAGAGTAGCTTTATTCATAATTGCCGAAACTTGAAAGTAGCCAAGATGTCCCTCAGTAAAATAGGTAAATAAACTGTGGTATATTCATAAAATGAAATATTACTAAGCACTATAAATCAATGAGCTAGCAAGCCATGAAAAGGCATGGAAGAACCTTCGCAGCACATTAATGGATGAAATAAACCAATCCGAAAAGGCTACACATTATATGATTCAAACCATTATACGACATTCTGGAAAAGGCAAAACTGAGGAGGTAGTAAATAGATCACTGGTTGCCTGGGGATTGGGAGGAAGGCGGAAGGGATGAGTAAGTGGAGTACAGATGATTTTTAGGGCAGTGAAACTATTCTGTATGGTACTATAATGGTGGATACATTTCATTATACATTTGTCAAAACCCATAGAATGTAAACACCAAGAATTCACCTAATGTAAACTATGGTCTTTAGTGATAATAATGTGTCAATACATAGGTTCATTGGTTGTAACAAATGTACCACTCAGACACAGGATATTGACCATGGATGAAGCCATGCCTAGGTATAAGGGAACTTTGTGTATTTGCCACTGTTTTGCAGTGAACCTAAAACTGCTGGAAAAGTCTTTTCTAACAAAAAGAATGAAAAAAATCTATATTTAATTTTAATTGTTTCTATGCAATGTTTTTGATAGTGCTATATGAGAACTTACTGTTTCTTAATTACCTAGACATCTGCCTAAGCTTTGTGGATAAAAGTAAGAAAGTCATGCTCACTATGCTCATTAGAATTCATACTACCTCCCTCTCACTGGAGTCTTAATGATGCAGATAAATATTTTTATTTCTTTGTGTTGGATTCTTTTCTTCTTCCCTATAGGAGACATTGTTGTGCTTCAAGTATCAGCTTGCTCTTTCTTCTTTAGTTCCAGATGATGGCTTTGTTGCTAATTTATGAAATTTGGCTATCCAGTGTGAGTCTCACGTACATGGTTGTTTTTCCCCTCTTTAAAATATCTCTGTCCTAACACTTTCTGTACTTCCACAAAACATCCTAGAAATTCTACTTATTTCCAGTTTTCTTGCAGACTACATTTGACATTGCCCATAACCCTTCCAGGATAGGACTGAGTCTCTGGTCTCCTCATGCCTGAATTTGGAGTTCATATGTCACTTAGGACTCCTCATTCCTTTAAACTTTACCATTTCCTTCAGCCCTCCTGCTCTTCCCTCTGCTTAGTTATTTTCCACATTGAACACTTTTCCTTAACCCTTCTGTCCCTACTTCAGTCCAATTCAATAAAGAGTTAATTAACCAATTAATTAATCATTGTGGGAAAAAATGAGTAGCATTAGTGGGACTAAGTTCCAATGTTAGGGTAATTTAGTCTCTGATAAATTTAATTGTACCCATATGTAATTAGTGATCATGAGAGTAAGATAATGGTTTTTAGTGATTTACAGACCAAGTACAATGGGAGACCAAGAGACCTGATGCCCCACTACAAAGATTTGCTCAGAAATGTATTAATCATGAAGACACTATTTCAAATAATTTTAAAGACGAAGTAGTAAATCAGTAGGATGGCAATCAAGGTGGAAAGAACTGCAGAAGATAAACTATGGTATCAGACAAACAACAGAAATTGCTCAGGAATTATTAAATAGAAAAGAATAGAAGGAAATAGGGTGATAGGAAATAGGTAGATAGTTTCTAAAAAATGAAAAGTCTGAAAGTGTAAAGAGAGGCAGTTTTACTTAATTGTGAAGACAATGAACAGCTATTAAAAGTTTACTGTGAAGCTGATATAATTGAGGTTTCACATTTTCACAAAATATTTCTTACAGCAATGTTTAGAATAAATTAGTGTTGTGAGTGACTGTCAGTTGGAGGGCAGGATTCAGGCAGGAGTCTAATAAATTGTTCTTCTGAGAAGTAACAAATATCTCTGTGGAAGTTAGATAAGTGCATGTGTAAGACTTTGGACTCTGGGGCTACACTGTTGTTGGTCAACTCCTTGCTTGATTGTTTATTGTCTTAGTGATTTCAAGCAAATAATTAATTCTTTTTGAGTGCTATTTCCCAATATTTTGGAAAACAGTGACTAAAATTTTACCTCTTTTTCATATTTGTTATGAGGATTACCTAAGAGTAGTCATGAAAGGCCCTTCATGCTTTAGTAAGCACCTAGTAAGCACTCACCAAACACGAACAGCTATTGTCAATAATGCTAACTAAAAAATGGTTGTAGATGAAAACTGGAAAGCAGAATATGGCAGGTAAATGTAATTGAGGATTTTTCAACTTATAGGATAAATGTGAAAAAAAGTCAAAGATGCCTCAAAGGTTTAATTCTGGATAAGTCAGAGACTGCAAGTGCCATTAATCCAAACATGCAAGTCAACAAGAGTTGCTGATTTTGGAGCCAAAGCAATAAATTTGGGTTTGCTCAAGGTCCATGTATGTCATCCAAGTAGAGTGGTTATTATGCAATTGAAAATGCATTTTACAAATCAGGGATAGAATTATAAATCCTAGAGTTTCATGGACGGATTGCACTGCTGAAGGGGGAACGACACCTCTTACAAAATAAATTATAGTTCCAGAAATGAAGGAATCCCCACACCTCAATTGCCCCTAAGTCTTTCTTTTGAATGGTACCTCTCACATAGGTTTTATAAGTGAATCCTCTTGGTTTTCCTGTAGTGGCGTCACCATTTTCTGCCACATCTACTTTAGTTTATTCGCTCATAGCTCATTTTTCTCTTTAGGCCAAAAAACCAGCCACCTGCCCCTGCGTGACTGTGTTTACACAAAGCAATCAAAGGAATTGCAGACAGCATTCTTTTTCGCACCCCTTCATGTGTCAATGAAATGGCTCTTTTGTGGTGTGCTTACTCTCACTCTGACACACAGACCAAATCCAAAAGAGATAGACAGGAAAATAATTCATGATGCTGTCACTACGCTATATTTAGAAACTTTTGTAGAATGACAAATTTTCTCCCAGGGGATTTTTTAGTCCATGTTTGAATTCTTAATCTATCATTTCAAACAGCCCTCCAGGGACAAAGTGAACTTTTCCAGTATTTTCTGTTTCCTATCGCTTTATCTTCATTCTAAGAATGAGCAGCTAGACCACTTCCACAGATGCATTTCTATATTTTAGCTGCTCATGACTTTTCTTTTCGTATCCTCAAAGATGTATCCTCAGAACTTCAGGCTGTCCAGTACTACATCAATTCTCTCACTATCCTAGAAGTGGCCACTGGGACAAATGTTTTTTCTTAAATTTGATGTTGAAGAAAAATATTCTGTGACCTTGGTAACTGAGAAACTAGCAACATGCAGACCAGCTGGGAAACTATCTTAGTAACTTGAGTGAGAGGCTAAAACAGCACTATAAGACTAAAAATCCTAAACAACAACAAAAATAACTTAGAAATATTTTGAGATTTTGTCAAAGAGATTTATTTCGCTATTTTAAGTCAAAATTACCAAAACTCTAGAGATTTTACAAATCTTGGTGTCTGTTTCAGATAACTGCATAAGAATTATGGTTAAGAATTTTTGTTATATTTAGTAAATTTGTTACTTTTCTTCTGCAAAATTCTAGAGAGCATTGTGTGATATAGGGATGTTAGTATATTGACCATCATTGATTTATTTTTCTATCTCTAAATACCAATTTAATTTATTTTCTTCCTAGCTTTCAAATGAGACATTTAATCAATCGATTACATAGGGTCAACTCTCACATTGGACATTGCTGATAAGCCTGAGGTAGGGGTCATGACCAACATAAGGAGGAGACCCTAATGAACTTCTCTTCCTTGGGTTTACAAAGAGCCTGAAGCTCCAATCAAACTACAAAAAGGAAGATATGACTCATCCATTGCCAGTATTTTGCTCACTTTCCTTTCAAAAGTGAAACTCTGTGCCTCAATATAAGTTTTTTTCTTGTTCATTGTTTGCTTGTCTTGCGATTTGAGGGGAAGCAAAAAGGAATAAGAAGAACAAGGAAGAAGTATTTTCAGATTCTGACTAAAGAATGCCCCAGGAATAACTGAGTGAATCGCAGCGTGTAACTGGATATAAACACAAATACAGCTCTAGAAGCTGAAAATAATTTATTTGAGACATTTTTTTTCTCTAGCCAGTTCTGTTGAAAGTGGATTAAAAAAAATATATTTACACTATGTTTAGTAGATGCCAAAACATCTGGTAAAATAAATCTTTTAAGTAATTTAATATGCTTTATTTTAACTGCATTTTAAAATATTTTTTGTCTCCAACTATATAATTTAATTTTCTACACAGAATAATGGTTCAATAAATAAGTTACTGTAAGGTACTGATTTATCTTTGGTATTTACTATTTATGAGATTATATAAACTGCAAAATGTTCTGTATTTATATTTTTATAATTTTGATAATAAACAAATATTTATTAAGTGTGTATTATGTGCAGGATATATACAAGACCTGGGGTAGACAATAGTGACAAGTCAATTGTCAGCACCTGTCTTCTTGGAATTGTAGTCCAATGTGCAATTCATATGTGCATTTAGTCTATAGAGTAATCTGTTGGGGAAAGTTAGTTTAGCTGTGGGAGTATAGTGCAGGGAAGGCCAATCTGAAACCACAGATAAATCACAGTTCTCTGTATTAAGAAACTCAATGTCCACTGGAAAACAATACATAACGAAAATCAAACACAACCTAGATTTTCAATAGGATTTTATCATGTAGAGGATTTTCACTTTGAGACTTTAAAGGAAAAGATGTTTACAAATATATAGCTATATATTGCTACCCCTTAATGATTACTTATTCTCTGGTATTGTTTTTGAATTTATTTTTATCTGGAATATTATAATGCTTATAATCTAAAATCATGCCTTTAACTTCTTGAATTTCATAATTTATGGTCTTCTATTCAATTAACTAAATGTTTATTCAATGCTTACTAAGTGCCAGGCATTGTATTCTGTGCTGAGACTAAAAATATACCAAAGACAAGGATTCCACTTGTAAAAAACTATCGTCTAATACACACATGGCCTTGTAAATGTCTCCAAGTATTCTTGGTTTCAAAAATAAATATTTGACCAATCCTAAAATATAATGCTAAAATAAAAAATGTAATATCTAATGACTCAGTGAAAATAGTAAATTCATATTATATTTGTTACAATTAAATTTGTGAGCAAGGTAAAAGGACCCATATTGGTAAATTATAAAAAATTAATTTAATTTAAATATTTCAATAACAGATTTATAAAATTACTCTAGCAGAACAGCTGTGGCATGGTGGATGGAGCACTGGACTTGTACTCAGCAAGTTCTTGTTGATTTACTTTGTAAACTTTGATCTGTAAATTAGATGGACTTGCAAAAAGTTGAAATAGTATAATATTTATTTTACCTAGATTAAAGGGCTATTGTGAAGATTAAATGCGATCTGTGATAATTTATCAAGTGTAATACACGTGCAAGACATAATTATTATTTCATTTCTCATGGAAACCTCATCATAGTCTTGTAGCTAATGCTGACTCAATATTTTATTATCTATATTGTCAGTACACGCTCTGCAGAAATAAATGCAGATCTTTTACAAAACAAAATAACATTACACTTATTTTCACTCCTAATACAATGCACAGTATACATTGAGTATAGGGTCCTGGCAATAGAGTAAAATCTTCCAACCTGTATGCTGAGTCATACTTTGCACCTAAGATGTAGGCCAGAAACATCAGGGCTGAGACAGATGTACTTTTAAAATGCCCTGACCACATTCCCATCTCCACTCCCTCTACAGGGCCAGCCATTGCAAAAGACTGTGTGATGATTTGCCTTTGAATCCCTTCTATTCTCTTGGTATGACCAATTATCAATCCAAAAGTATATGACAGAAGAAAATTCACTCCAGGTATGCCCGTGTATCATCCCTCTTTTGGAATTAGAGGATGAGGAGTTAGGATTGCAAGGTAACTTTGATTCTAGTTACTTCATATAATACTACTTAAGTTACTCAAATTTCAGTTTCAGTAAGCCCTTTAGGACTCATTTTACCTCTCTACTCTTAGCTTGAGAAACAAAGGGCTATCTCATGTTCCTTTTACTTTTGTCCACCAGGCAGTGGCTACTCAATAACGTATGCTCTCCCTGCCATCCCAAATTTAGCCAGTGAGTCAGTGTGTATTATGCCTCTCTGTCTCTCTCTCCCTCCATCCCTCCTTCCCTTTCTGCTTTCCTTTCTTTTTTGATAGTCTGCTTCTCTCTCTGAAGAAAAGTTGGCAGAACATTCTCATCTTTACATCTTTATTTTCCATATCAACAAACAACACCGAAGGAGTCTATCATATTTTTCTTAAGGGGTAGAGTCACTACAGACAATTTCTTTGTATAAGGAGATAGAGAAATTTCAATCTCTGCTCTAAATATGACTTTCCCAGAGCACAAGAGAAAAGCACCCCAAAGTTAAACTCCATTTAGATATCCCATTATCTGTTCTTGCTACCCTGTTCTCAATATACAACTCTCTGGTACCTCCTTTTTCTCATCAGCCTGGGAGGAAACCTTATTACTGTAGAGGTTGCCTCACTGTGAAATCCAGCTTTCTTTCTAATATGTGTATTAATCAGCTCAGGCTGTCATAACAAAATACCATAGACTGAGTAACTTAAACAGACATCTATTTTCTTACAGTTCTGGGAGCTGGAATTCTGATTAGAATTCCAGCAGGGTTTGGTTTCTGGTGATGGCTCTCTTCTTGACTTGCAGATGGCCTCCTTGCTGTGTCCTCACATGGCCTGTCCTTAGTGCATCCACATGAATAGAGATCGCCCTCTCTCTGTCTCTGTTAATGAGGCCACCAATCCTGTCGAATTAGGACCTCACCCTTATGACCTCATTTACCTTAATTACTTCCTAAAACCGTTCTCCAAATATAGTCACATATGAGCATAAGGTTTCAACATAAGAATGGGGGGAAATACAATTCAATCTTTAGCAGTTTGTTTCTACTGATGTGTTTGATCCAGTGGGTCCCAAACTCCTAGAGGTGTCAGGGAAATGACAGACATCCAATGCCAAGGCCACTGAGAGGCCACCATATCAGTGTATGCAGCATCTAATGGCTGCATACATTTATCTGATGTTTTCTGCTCAGTACCTGCCTTCTGTTGTTGCTTCCCTGTCCTGTCATTCTTTTCTATGTCTCTCTCTCTCTGCCTCTCTTTTCACTTTCTCTCTCTCTCACACCACACACACACACACACACACACACACACACCTTCCAAGGATAAGTATTAATTTTCAGAGACAACATGTTCTAAGCTCCAGGACACAAACTAGAAGAATGCTGCCAGAGCCAGCAAGGTAATGTAAATATAAAATAGGATGAATTCAGCCTCTTTATCCTGTCTATATTCCTTTGTAACCCTTGATCTAAGTACATTAGAAGGAAGAGAAATATCTTCCTAACTAACCCATGATTGGTAAAACCAGCTTATTCCCAGAGGATTTTGTATCTACCATAATAATGAAGAACTAACAGGGTTATTTCTCTTCCTTTACCTGTCACCCTGCACTCCTTTCAACTGCACCCACTCCGGTCTGTGGAAAGAATAAGTGAGAATTCTTGTTTCACTGGGTGCACCCTGAAACCCTCAAAGTGGAAGTGAGTGTTTTTAAGTGTTTGGTTATATTCTCAACCAACTACCATTCTCTCTACTCTGTTTCACTCAGGGGTGGGGTTGGGTTGCTTTTCTTATTCCCACGGAATCCCTACTGCTTCCAGAAACAAAGAAAGCACAATGGAAGTTGATCAAAGTCTTGTTCTGCTGAGAATTGTTTCAACAGTAAAGGGCTGAGATGACATTGGGGAGTTTCTCCTTCTGATCAGCAATAAACACCCTCTCAGCTGCACCCCTGGCTCTCAGCCAGATGTAGCTTCATAAGGGCTCTCATCTTTAGATTGTCATGCAAATCTATTCTTTCTTCTTTTCTAGAGAGTAACCTAGGAAAAGCATCCTTCATGGAGTCAAATAGTTTCTTTCAGACTCTGTGCCCAGTAAATATTAGGTCTTCATGTATCATGTTATTTTGCCTTCATGTATCAAGTTCTGTAAATTATTTGGTCTTCATGTATCATATTCTGTAAACACAATGTCAGTTTCTTAATCTACCCTGCACTGTGCCTACCCCATGTCTACATTGCAACCCCTGCATGCTCACATACATTGACGTGAGCCTATCTCCAATATTGAAGGGCCTGAGACAAAAGGACAAAGGGAGGCCACATACCATAGGTTTAAATGTACTTATAAATTAAACTAATAATATTCAACCAATATGTTCCATTCTCCTACTCTCAAAACATTCTGGAAGCTCGTGTTTGAATTTAGAATTCTTGGACTTTTCAGAATTCATTGTGGTAGTGTGGGGAGCATCACCCTGTCCACACTGCACTGCAACCCACCTTCTTGTCACCTCCTAACTCTGTTTCAAATGTCAGAACCCCACCCACCGCCTGCAAACACGCACAGGTGCTTGTCCATTTTGGAAGAGAATGATAAATTTGAACCTCAGTTTATTTAGGTATAATATTAAACCCATGATATGTATAAGATAGAGCTGTCCAGATACTTAAATTAAGTGTTTTGAGCACTGGGTTTTGTACATAGCAGGCTCTCAATAAATGGTTGTTTTCCTCATTTCTTGTAATTTTCCCTTCTCACGTACTATTATTCTATGTCACAGTTGAAGAAATGGAAACATGGACAAAGAATGGGTTTCAATCCACATGTGATATCCTGCCCCTTTTGTGTTAGGCATGCTATAATGAAAATGCTACATGTCCAAGTACAGAAAACCTTTTAACATTAATTAAAAACTTCAGTGCAGATCCATATGGAAACCCATACCTTTCTCCCCTAATCTTCCAGACACTAATCTACTTTTTCTGAAAAGTAGACAAGAGAGGAAATACAAAAAGGAACAGGAATAATAACCAAGTCTCAGGGTGTGTATGTGGATAACTTTTTAATTAGGAGAAGGAAACAGTTAAATTTAGCCTGAGATGTGGGACTCCTATTTTTATCACTCACTTTTCTAGGAAAGCTGATATTTGGCTTTGCCAATAGAGAAAAGTCACATGTTATGAAGATGGCTGTGAAGGTAAATTTCAACAGCTATTCAGTACCTGCTGGTAATCCCAGATGTCAGGTAGAAGATACTGAGGTGAGAGTTAGTAGAAAAGGAGGGGAAGCCCACAGGTTAGCTTCCAGAGGACGTCCTGGGCTTTCTTTTTTTTTTTTTTTTTTCTGTTTGCTCTTTCTTTATTATTATTATTATTATTATACTTTAAGTTTTAGGATACATGTGCACAACGTGCAGGTTTGTTACATATGTATACATGTGCCATGTTGGTGTGCTGCACCCATTAACTCATCATTTAGCATTAGGTATATCTCCTAATGCTATCCCTCCCCACTCCCCCCACCCCACAACAGTCCCCAATGTGTGATGTTCCCCTTCCTGTGTCCATGTGTTCTCATTGTTCAATTCCCACCTATGAGTGAGAACATGCGGTGTTTGGTTTTTTGTCCTTGCGATAGTTTGCTGAGAATGATGGTTTCCAGCTTCATCCATGTCCCTGCAAAGGACATGAACTCATCATTTTTTATGGCTGCATAGTATTCCATGGTGTATATGTGCCACATTTTCTTAATCCAGTCTATCATTGTTGGGCATTTGGGTTGGTTCCAAGACTTTGCTATTGTGAATAGTGCCGCAATACATGTACGTGTGCATGTGTCTTTATAGCAGCATGATTTATAATCCTTTGCGTATATACCCAGTAATGGGCTGGCTGGGTCAAATGGTATTTCTAGTTCTAGATCCCTGAGGAATGGCCACACCAACTTCCACAATGGTTGAACTAGTTTACAGTCCCACCAACAGTGTAAAAGTGTTCCTATTTCTCCACATCCTCTCCAGCACCTGTTGTTTCCTGACTTTTTAATGATCGCCATTCTAACTGGTGTGAGATGGTATCTCATTGTGGTTTTGATTTGCATTTCTCTGATGGCCAGTGATGATGAGCATTTTTTCATGTGCTTTTTGGCTGCATAAATGTCTTCTTTTGAGAAGTGTCTGTTCATATCCTTTGCCCACTTTTTGATGGGGTTGTTTGTTTTTTTCTTGTAGATTTGTTGGAGTTCATTGTAGATTCTGGATATTAGCCGTTTGTCAGATGAGTAGGTTGCAAACATTTTCTCCCATTCTGTAGGTTGCCTGTTCACTCTGATGGTGGCTTCTCTTACTGTGCAGAAGCTCTTTAGTTTAATTAGATCCTATTTGTCAGTTCTGGCTTTTGTTGCCATTGCTTTTTTGTGTTTTAGACATGAAGTCCTTGCCCGTGCCTATGTCCTGAATGGTACTGCCTAGGTTTTCTTCTAGGGTTTTTATGGTTTTACATCTAACATGTAAGTCTTTAATCCATCTTGAATTAATTTTGCCTTGTCATGTCTCCAACCTCAATTTATATCATTCTAATTCAGCCATGCAGGCTTGTGTTCTAATGGAGCTTTTTATAAAACAAACAAAAAAACCCCGACTTGATTGAGATATAATTCACATACCATATAATTCATTCACTTAATATGTATAATTTCATGATTTGTAGTATATTCTCAGATATGCATAGCCATACCACAGTCTATTTTAGAATATTTTTATCACCTCAAAAAACGGTATACCCATTAGCTACTATCAGTTCCCTATCCTGCTATCCCCCACCTCCATCACTAAGCAACCACTAATCTACTTTATGTTTCTTTATTTTCGTATTCTAGATTTTCACATGAATGAAGTAAAGTAATAAGTTTTCTTTTGTGACTGTCTTCTTTCACCATAATGTTTTCAAGTTTTATTTATATTATAGCATGTATCAGTCAGTACTTCCTTTCTTTTTATGGTCAAATAATATTCCATTGTATTGATATACCATACATTGTTTATAAATCTATTAATGTACATTTGGGTTGTTTCTACCTTTTGGCTATCATGAATAATGCTGTTATAAGCATTCATGTCCAAGTTTTTATGTGGACATATATTTCCACATCTCTTTAATATACTTCTATTAGTAGAATTGCTGGGTCATATGGTATCTATATGCTTAATTGTTTTAGAAACTATCTATCTGTTTTCCAAAGAAGTTGTGCCATTTTACATTCCTACCCACAGTGTATGACAATTCTAATCTCTCCATATCCTTGCCAACACTTGTTGTTATCTGACTTTTTAGTTATAGCATCTGCAATGAACTGAATGTTTATGTTCCCCCAAAATTTATATGTCTAAATCTTAGATCCCAAGGTGATAGCACTAGGAAGTGAGGCCTTTGGGATGCAATTAGATTGTGAGAACAGAGCCGTCATGAATGGGATTCGCGCCCTTATAAAAGAGATCCCAGAGAGCTAGCTCACCCTTTCCACCATATGAGGATGCAGAGAGGAGGTGCTGTCTATGAGGAAGCATGGCCTCACCATACTTCAAATATGTTCATGCCTTGATCTTGGACTTCTCAGCCTCCAGAACTGAGGGACATAAATTTATATTGTTTGCAAGCCACTCATCTTAAGGCACTTTCGTTGGAGCATCTTAAATGGACTAAAATATCCTACTGGATGTGAAATGTTATCTCATTGATGTTTTCATTTACATTTCCTAGATTACTCAAGACAAAAAGCATAATTTTATGTACTTATTGGCCATTTTTATATTGTCTTTGGAGAAGTGCCTGTTCAAATTCTTTCTCTATTTTTAATTGGGTTGCCTTTTCAATATTGACTTCTTAGAATTGTTTATACGTTCTAGACAGATTATGATTTGCAAGTATTTGCCCTCATTCTATATATTGTCTTTTCACTTGTTTGATGGTGTCCCTTAAGCACAATAGCTTTTAATTTGAAGAAGACTAATTTATCTATTTTTATCTTTTGTTGATCTTGATTGTGCTTCTGAAATTGTCTAGGACTTTTTTTGCTAAATACAAGTTCATAAAAATTTATCTCACTGTTTTCCTCTAAGAGTTTACAGTCTTAGCCTTTAACTGTTATTTTCTCTGCCTCAGATACTTTTCATCTGGCACTTACCATGGTTAGTGTTTTCACTTTTCAGATCTTTTCTCAAAAGTCATGTCTTCAGAAAGGTCTTTGTTGAGCATTCTATCTAATTTTGACTTTTCTTTCCATATATTTCTTTATCACAATACCATAATTATTTCCTTTAAAGCAGTTTCCACAATCAGAAATATATCATCTATTTACTTACTTACTTATTGTCAGTTTCTACCTACTAAAATATAATCTCCCAAAGTGCTGGGTTATGGTTGGCTTCCTAGCACTAGCACTTCTTATATGCCCAATAAATAATACATTAATGAATGGAGAGTGACAAAAAGAAAACTCATGCAGGGTCAGAGACAGGGGGAAATTCCTGATGAGCCTAATAGTAGGTGAATCTATGGCTTGTGTTAATATATTCATCTATTAAGCAGATATTTAAAAGATGTGTTCTGCCTATATTTGAAGATCAAGGTAAGACACTGGGATCAGCATCCAAACAGAAGTTTAGAAAAAAATAAAAGAGATAATTAAGCAGCAGAAATCGGGATACAGAAAATGAGGCTGATATTTAAAGATCACCTTGAAATTATTGATCTAGTCACAAACGGTCAATTCTGTGAATACAGAAGTAATTTACACAAAGTAAATGCATTACAACTTGAAATAATTTCCACAAGATAATGCATATTCCACTAAAAATTTAATTAAAAATAAATGATTATGAAACTCTGTTCTTTGAATATAAAATTCTTTTTTTCTGAGAACTTGTAAAATTTTCTAGCTTTCAACAACATGAGTAAAAATGCCTTTCTTACATCTTCTCACACAAAATTATGCTATACTATAGGAGCTATCAATCTCTAGGTCCATGATTCTTAAAATTTTGATATTATCTTATATCACCTTCTGAGTGTACACCATTCTGTTTACTATCAATTTAGACATTATTGTTTCCTGATGTTTCTGCCACAATAGTTTTCAGGGTCATCTACAATTACCAGCCTAGATCATGACATCAGTAGGATTACTACATCTTTCAACCAATATTTCTGCTTCTAGATATTTTCCACTGCAGTCTCTTTTTCTCATTCTCACCTGAAATATATTTCAGAAACACTAGTTCATTTCTTTACTTCCTCATCAAGGAAGCTCTTCCAGGTATTTTAATTGAAATCTACCTCCAGGCTAGAATTTCAAGCTCTTGGTGAACTACGCCAAATTTCTGTCTCTCTGCTAGTTATGGTTAATTCTTCGCTATCTGTTGGACTTGCCAGGATTATTCTTCCTTTGCCCATTCTTTCTTATCAATCTAGAACACCTCTCTGCTTCCCTCTGTTTATCTAAATTTTATTTTGTTTTATGGCATTTGACAATTTAGGTCTCATTTTCCCTGTTCCTGCTCTTACCCGCTCTGCACAGCTAGAACCACAGATATCTTAATGTAAAGGTTCAGTCTCTTTCCAACCAACAATCCAGTCTTAACAAGAGTCAAAAAATTTTCAAAGGAATATTATCAGTTTTTAAATGGCTTTTAAAAAGGAAGACATTTAAGCATGTTTTTACATAGAAGAGGGGGAACTAGAGGCGAGAGAGCAAATAAACTTACAGTCAAGATAGAGAAGGATTCCATGCAAAAAGTATAGAGGAGACAGAAGCAACAAAGAAATGGCAGAGTGATAGTGATGGTATATTTAATAGTGATAGAAAGGAAAAAATACATTTTTTCCACTGTGGTAAAAAGAAGAAAGACTGCGTTTAAATTAAGAGAGAAATTGAGGTTGTGAGGAAGAAAATTAGAGAAACTCTTGTTAAAGCTGTACCACTTAGAAGATCTTATATGAGAGCTGCACAAAGGATTAAAGTGGAGTCAATGATGTATATCAAGCAGAAATAAAAAATATTTTAGTGTAGTGCCAGCTTCTGCAGGGTCTCTAAAATTAGGTTTGTCGCACTGATTATGGAGACAGACTGACCTGCATTTTACTCTTAAAATTGACTCTGCAGTCCTTGACAAACTAGGTCACTGAAAATGCTTCAGTGTCCTGATCTGTTGATTGGGTCTTTGTGAGAATTGAATGAAGTAATGTATGTGAAGTACTTAGCACAATGTTTGGCACATGGTAGGAACACAATTGATTTTGCTGTCATTATTCATCAATCAGTTATCTGAAATGCTGACAATTTTCTGAAACATCGCAGTTTTTTTTTTTATGAGACCCAGAGGAATCCCGTACCCATAATTAAAAATGTATCAGGGAGAAGACTTCCCCTAGAACAAGAGATGAACGACTAAGAAAGGTACATGCTTCAGTTTACATTTTTGCATTAATGGCTTAAAATGACTAAATGATGTTTGTCCTAATTAACATTACATGATAATTATATGTATAGGATCCTTTCATTCACAGTATTCTTTGTCAGAGAAAATATTTATTAGTGAAATTCTAAACTTCATGAATTAAAAAGAAAAAATACATGCAAGCTATATTTGTGACCAATGGCTCATGTGCAGAGCAACAAGGGAAGAAGAGTTAATTTTTAAAGGAAAAAGTTTTAAAATTGGATCATATTGAGGAACTGTAATTCAACAGTCCATGGGATTTACCAACAAAAATATCAAGAAAATAAAATAATAGTTTCTGTTTCAGAGAGAGGAATACTACAAGTTGATGAATAAATTCTGGGAATTACTCAAATGCTGAAAGCAGCTTTTAAAGTTCAAAATTAGTTCTAATGTTATCAAAAACACTGCAGTAAGATGCCTCAATTTATTCAAAAAGAATAGAATGAAAAGATTTGTTAGACAGAAGAATGCAGGAGATATTGGATGGGAGAGTCCCTGGAAGGCCCTTGAAACTCAATCAAGAGCCATATTCCATGTTGAAATAATGAATCCTTAAATGTCTAAGAGAAAATTACTTCATTTTTCTAACATTTGAAAAATGCATCTCTTCAGCCATTCAGTGTCTATTCTAGCCCTTTGGGTGTACCAAGGTAATAAAGAAATGGCTGTGTTTGCTTGTGAGAAGTTAAAGAGAATATTTTTAATGACACGGATATTCTAGTGACAGTGAAATAGACAGACATGGAGGATGGTTTTATTGAACATCATTGTACATACTAGGAGCATGTCTGGGCACCTCTCTTATGCATCTCTTCTATCCTCATAATCCCACCTCTTACCGTGGCCCACCTTTTACCCCAGCCATCCCTCCAGATGCTAGTTTCCCAAGGCATGACTAGCTTCTCACAGGTGCAATCTAATAGGCCCTCCCTTGCGCCTGCACACTTTCTGCCCCAGTGTCTTAGAAATCTATTTGGCACTCATGTAGAAGTGTGGGGTTTTGGCCAGGGTGGGTACATTAGACCAATAGGAAATGGAAGCCAATTCTGAAGTGCATTTTATAAGATTCCTCAGCAGTGAAGTACTCATACTCTCTACTCACAGAATTGGCCCCCAAGATAGATAGATGTTTTTGTTCCTACTTTTTCTCTGTGTACTCAAGTGTCCCTCACTCTTGCATCCTAGGCTTACATTCCCAAATAAATTAAACCCAAGTCTCCATCTCAGCCTCTACTTCAAGAGAACGCAGGCAAAGACAGAGCAGTTACTTCTGCCTTTTACACAATAGTTTTTCTTTTTTATTCATTTTCAGAAAATAATCAAAGTTAGTTTTTGCTCCAGTAACCATATAGCTCTACATACTTTATTTAATTGGTTATTCTGTGTGTTTACTTTAAAACGCAAACGACAGGCAATAAAGTTGAATCTACATTAGATAGAAAAAAAGTTCTCAAAACTAACACCATTGTCTTTCTTTGTGCCAAGACAGATTTAATCCATAGCCCATGTGTAAATGTCAGTTTTATGTGTCCACTTGGCTAGGCTATAATACCCAGTAATACAACCGAACACCAACCTAGGTGTTGCTGTGAATGTTATTTTGTAGATATGGTTAACATCTACGATCAGCTTTCTTCAAGTAAAAGAGATTACCCTGGATAATGTGGGTGGGGGTCATCTAATCAGTTGAAAGACTTTAAAAGCAGAAACTAGATGGCTGGCTAGAAGCACTGGTGGTGAGGCTCTCACAGAGAGGAAACGGAGTGGTGAGTAAACACTAGCTTTTTAAGTGCATCATCCAGGGGGCCACATTGGGATTCATTAAGGAAGCAATGTCAATCCATGGATAGCAGAGAGGAGTGAGGCAGGACAGCTGCCTCTCTGGGATTGATGTGGAGCGAGGGGAGATGCCCTATGGAGGGGAAGGGTGAGTGAGTGAAAACCCTCAGAAGCCATACTTCTGCCACTGATCTTTGTAATCCCAGGGACAGGAGGTCCCCCTGACCCACTCAAGACCTCCAGACCAACATGGAGAGCAGCTCAGGGCAAAGCCACTGCTCAGGCCCACATGGAGCCCCATGAACCTTGGGTCCATGAGCAACCTGGAGCCAGCTGCTGTAGACCTGCCAACAAGAGAGGCTACACTCTTGCATACCCCCAGCATAGGGGCCACATCCACGGTGCTGAGGAGAAGATAGCCTTCAGGCTTCATCTCTGCTGCACCTCGCCAGGTGTATTAGTCTATTTTCACACTGCTGATAAAGACATATCCAAGACTGGGCAATTTACAAAAGAAAGAGGTTTAATTGGACTTACAGTTCCACATGGCTGTGGAAGCCTCACAATCAAGGCAGAAGACAAGGAGGAGGAAGTCATGTCTTATACGGATGGCAGCAGGCAAAGAGAGAGAACTTGTGCAGGGCAACTCCTCTTTTCAAAACCATCAGATCTTGTGAGACTTGTTCACTATCATGAGAACACCATGGGAAAGACTTGCCCCTATGATTCAATTACCTCTCACCAGGTCCCTCCCACAACACATGGGAATTCAAGATGAGATTTGGGTGGGGACACAAAAGATGAGATTTGGGTGGGTGATATGGTGGGGACCATAACACCAGGCAAACTCCCCCGGGCAACCACCCCAAACCTGTCTGAGTACTCCATCTGGTTCTCCATTTCCCTGGGAGGGAGTAACCAGAAGTAACCAACAGGCCCACTAGGATAGCTTGCTGCCACCACTGGACCCCTACTGCTCTCAGGCTGGGGAGAGAGCAAAGAGCCTGAGAACTGTCCCAGGCCTCTGTACAGAAAAGCCCCAGGGCTGTTTTCCACTTGGGTCCTTGTCCCTGCTACTCCTCACTCGACAGGAGGGATGGCCTACTCCTGCCTGCCCTACCCCTGCCTGATGACTTCAGTGGTGGTGGCCTTGCATTTCTTTGGGGTGGAACTCCTAGAGCCAACCAACAGGCTCTCTGGCATTGCTGCCACAGCAGTACCTGCCCTTGCTGCCATCAGGCTAGTGAGGAAACAAAGACCCTGATTCCCTGATTGCTTTGCTGGCACCCCCAGTAGCCACAGCCACCCTATGAGTTGAAGCCCAGCCTGTCCTCCCCACAAACTGCTGCCGCCCTGCTCCTCACCAAGCAAGCCTTTCCAACTTCCTCCATGGGCCCACAACCTAGCTGTTCCACCCTCAGCTGAATATTCCTATTGGCAATGGCTTTGTGCATCTCTTCGGTGGTGCTTTCAGAGGCAACTAATAGCCCTTCTGCCACTGTCTGGTGCTGTGCCTGCTCTTGTTCACCTCAGGCTGGGAAAGGAGCAAAAAGTCTCTGCTTTACTTACACCTACAGCACGCAACAGCCACCCTATAGAGAGGAGGCCAGATTGTCTTTCCTGAGAGCCCCTCCACTCTTCCCCCTGCTCTTTTTCAGGCAGAGCCAGTTCAGCTTGGGCCAGCAGGTAGCCACCCCACCTCCAGCTGATCATTCCAATTGGCAGCAGCTCTGTGTTCCTCTAGGGTGCAGCTCCCAAAGACAAGTGAAAGGCACTCTGTAATTGTTACTGCCAAGGCCCTTGCCTCCGCTTCCCCCAAGCTGGGGAGGGAATAAAAAGCCTGGCTTTGCCCCAGGGCTACAGTGCACAGCTCAGGAGTGTCAAGGTAAGATCTGTGGTCAGCACGCGACTAAGAGAAGCCTACACTCTTAGAGGGGTAGATTGCTTGGGTTTGGGTGTGTGCCATGGGAGTGGGGTGTGCCTCCCTCTCCAGGGTTGGCCTGGAAAAGGTGAGACCTATTTCCTTGATGTGGTGTCTGCCCCAGAGAACCCCACATCCTGGAACACCTAACAAAAGAAACATGGGTGCAGTGCTAGTGATAGAAGTGGGCTCCCCTGAAGTGCAAGAGTGGATCTTGTAAGGGGGTCACCACTCTCTGCCTGTCACCACAGAGCACGGCTGCAAACATGAGGAAATACAGAGGAGCAGTGTGGATATGTAAGAGCCTATCCACCAACCACTACTCTTAAGAACCATATAATGGATCACAGCCCAAATGACAACACTGAAAATATTTTTCTGATATACAGTCTTGTGAAACCAAGGGCAAGAAGTCAGCCACAAATAAAGACACTGCACAGATCCTTGGTCCTCTGAAAACATCCAGAAATAAAGCCAACTGACTATACCCATATTACACCACAGTTAAATGAACACCATTCCTCGCATATGAGAAAGAGCCAGTACAACTGTGGCAATGAAAAATTTCGGTGTCCTCTTACCTTCAAATGAGTCCACTAACTTCTCAGTACTGCTTCTTAAACAGTCAGAAATGACCAAACTGAGAGACATAGAATTCATAATCTGGATGGTAGGGAAAACCATCGAGGCTCAGGAGAAAGTTGAAATCCCAAATCTAGGAAAATTGTTCAAGAGCTGAAAGATGAAATACTCATCTTAAGAAAGAACCAAGCTGATCTTCCAGAGCTAAAAAAGTCATCACAAGAATGTCAGAATGCAATCGGAAGTATTTACAACATAACAGACCAAGTGCGAGGAAATAATCTCTGAGCTTGAAGACCAATAATTCAAATCAACTCAAAAAAAAAAGAAAAAATTATTTTAAAAAATGATCAAAAACTCTGAGAAATATGGGATTATGTAAAGAGACCAAATCTACAACTCATTACATTCCTGAGAGAGGAGAGAGAATAAATAACATGGAAAATATATCTGAAGATATTGTCCATGAAAATTTCTCTAATGTCACTAGAGATGTTGACATATAAATTCAAGAAATACCAAAAACCCTGGTGAGATACTATGAAAGACAACTATCCTCAAGGCACATAGTCATTAGATTAATCGAGGTCAACACAAAAGGAAAACATCTTAAAGGCAGCTAGAGTTAAGGGTCATGTACAGAGGGAACACTATCAGGTTAGCAGCACACCTCTCAGCAGATACACTGCAAGCCAGAAGAAACTGGGGGCTGATTTTCAGCACCATTAAAGAAAAGAAATTCCAACCAATAATTCATATCCTGCCAAACTAAACTTCGTAAGTGAAGGAGAAACAAAATTGACAAGCAAATCCTGAGGGAATATATTTCAACTATGCCAGCTTTAAAAGAGATCTTTAAGGAAGTGCTAAACATGGAACTAAAACAATGACACTTGCTACCATAATGACACATTTAAGCACATAGCCCACAAGCACTATAAAGCAATCACAAAATCGTCTATTTAACAACCAGCTAACAACATAACGGGGTCAGAATCTCACATATAAATGTGAATCCCAAATGTAATGGGTTAACACCCCATTTAAAAAACAAAGTGGCAATTTGGATAAAAATCCATGATCCAACCCGCTGATGTCTTCAAGAGACCCATCTCACTGTAAGGAGACCTTCAGGCTTAAAGTAAAGGGATAGAGTAAGATCTACCACACAAATGGAAAACTTAAAAAGAGGAGTTGCCACTCTCATACAAGATAAAATGGACTTTAAATCAATATTAAGAAGGATATTACATAATGATAAATGATACAATCAAAAAAGAAGACTTAACTATTTTAAATATATATGTACCAAACATTGGAGCACTCGGATTCATAAAACAAGTTCTTCTTGGCATACAAAATGACTTTGATAACCACAAAATAATAGTGGGAGACCTCAGTACCTCACTACGGTGTTAGATCAATCATTGAGGCAGAAAACTGATAAATAAATTCTGAATTTAAACTCGACACTTAACCAATTGAACCTAATAGGCATATATGGAAAATCCCACCCAACAACTAGAGAATATTCATTATTGTAAACTATGCATAGAACATATGCTAAAATTGACCAGATTCTCAGTCATAAAGCAAGTCTCAATGAATCCAAAAAAATTTGAAATCATGCCAAGCATACTCTTGGACCACAGTGCAATAAAAATAGAAATTACTATCAAGAGGATCTCTCAAACTGCACAAATTCATGGAAATTAAACAACTTGCTCCTGAATAACTCGTGGCTGAACATCTAAATTAAGGCAGAAATTAAAAATATATATTTGAAATTAATGAAAATAGGGATACAAGCAACCAAAATCTCTGGGATACAGATAAAGCAGTGTTAAGAGGAAAGTTTATAATGCTAAATGCCTTCATCGAAAAATTAGAAAGATCTCAAGTTAATAATCTAACTTTGCACCTACAGGAACCAGAAAAAAAATCCAAAGCTAGCAGAAGAAAAGAAATAACTAAAAGTAGAAAAGAGCTTAATGAAATTGATATGTGAACAGTCATACTAAGGATTAATGAAACCAAGAGTTTCTTTTTTGAAAAAATAAATAAGATCAAAGACTGTTAGCTATATTAACAAAGAAAAAAATAGGAGAAGATCCAGGTAAGTACAACCAAAAATGACAAATATGACATTACAACCAGTCTCACAGAAATACAAAAGATCCTCAGAGAATACTATGAACAACTGGATGCACACAAATTAGAAAATCTAGGAAAAAAAAGGATGAATTTTTGGAAACACACAATCTCACAATGAATCAGGAAGGGACTGAAACCCCGAACAGACCAATATCAAGCTCTGAAATTAAATCAGTAAGAAAAACCTACCAACCAAAAAATTCCCTAGACCAGATGGATTATCAGCTGAATTCTACTAGACATGCAAAGAAAAACTAGTATCAATCCTACTGAAACTATTCCAAAAAATTGAGGAGGTGGGGCTCCTGCCCAGCTCATTCTATAAAGCCAGTATCAGCCTAATGCCAAGATCTGGCAGAGACACAGCAACAATGAAAAAGAAAAAGAAAAAGAAAACTTCAGGCCAATAGCCCTGATAAACATAGACACAAAAATTTTTAAGAAAATACTATCAAACTGAATTCAGTACCACATCAAAAACTTAACACACGATGATCAAGTGGGCTTTATTTCTGGGATGGGTATGTAAGGCTGGTTCAACATACACAAATCAATAATGTGATTAACCACATAAGCAGAATTAAGAACAACAACTATATAATCATCTCAGTAGATGCAAAGAAAGGTTTCAATACAATCCAGCATTCCTTATGATAAAAACCTCAGATGAGGCATTGAAGGAACATATCTCAATATAATAAGAGTCATCTATGAAAAACCCATAGCCAACATAATACTGAATTGAATGGGCAACAATTGGAAACTTTCCCCTGAGAACCAGCACAAAACAAGGATGCTGACTCTCACCACTCTTTTTCAATGTATTATGGGAAGGCTTAGCCAGAGAAATTAGGGAAGAGAAATAAATAAAAGGCATTCAGATAGGAACATAAGAAGTCAAACTATCTCTCTTCACTGATAATATGATCCTATACCTAAAAAGTCCTAAAGACTCTACAAACGACTACTAGAAGTATAACATCCAGGCTTATAATAAAATCAAGAACACAATATCACTTTAAATAGCCACAAATAAATGAAATATCTAGGAATACAGCTAATCAGGGAGGTGATAGATCTCTATATGGAGTACCACAAAACACTGCTGAAAGAAATCAGAGATGACACAAATAAATGAAAAAACATCCCATGCTCATGGATTGGAAGAATCAATATCATTAAAACAGCCATACTGTCCAAAGTTATTTACACATTCAATGCGATTTCTACAAAACTATCAATGCCATTTTTCACAGAATTAGAAAAAGCTATTGTAAAATTCATATGGAACCAAAAGAGAACCCAAATAGCCAAAGCAATCCTAAGCAAAAAGAGCAAAGCCAGGGGCATCACACTACTCAACTTCAAAATATACTGTAAGGCCACAGTAACCGAAACAGTTTGTACAAAAACATACTCACAGATCAATGGGACAAAATAGAAAACTCAGAAATAAAGCCTCACAATTATAATCATCTGAAATTCAACAAGGCTGACAGAAACAGGCAATGAGGACAGATTCCCTATTCAATAAGTGGTGCTAGGATAACTGGCTAGCCATGTGCAGGTGAATGAAATTAGATCAGTACCATTCACCATATGAAAAAATTAACCAAATGGATTAAATATTTTATTTATTTATTTATTTATTTTGAGATGAAGTCTTGCTCTGCCATCCAGGCTGGAGTGCAGTGGTGCAATCTTGGCTCACTGAAACTTCCACGTTCCAGGTTCAAGTGATTCTCCTGTCTCAGCCTCCTGAATAGCTGGGATTACAGGCATCTACCACCAAACCCAGTTAATTTTTGATATTTTTTTAGTAGAGACAGGGTTTCATCATGTTGGCCAGGCTGGTCTCCAACTCCTGACCTCAGTTGATCCACCCTGCTCGGCCTCCAAAACTGTTGGGATTACAGGCGTGAGGTGACATGCCCGGCCACAAGTGGAAGAAATATTTAAATGTAAGACCTAAAATTACAAAAATCCTTGAAGACAACCTTGAAATATACTTTTGGTTTGACCTTGGCAAAGATTTTTTGGCTAAGTCCCCAAAAGCAATTGCAACAAAAACAAAAATTGGACCTAATTTAATTAAAGAGCTTCTGCACAGAAAAAGAAAATATCAATAGAATAAACAAACAACCTATAGAATGGGAGAAAATTTTCACAAACTATGTATCTGACAAATGTTTAATATCCAGAATCTATAAGGAACTTAAGCAAATCAACAAGCCAAAAACAAATAAGCCTATTAAGAAATGGGTAGAAGACATGAAGAGACGCTTCTCAAAAGAAAACATACAAGAGGCCAATAAATATAAAAAATGCTCAGCATCAATAATCATCAGAGAAATGAAAATCAAAACCACACTGAGATACCACCTCACACTAGTCAAATGGCTGTCATTAAAAAAATATATAAAAACAACACATACTGGTGAGGCTGAAGAGAAAAGGGAATACTTATACGTTCTTGGTGGGCATGTAAATTAATTCAGCCACTCTGGAAATCAGTTTGGAGATTTCTCAAACAACCTAAAACAGAGCTACTATAACATTCAACCCAGCAATCCCATTACTGGGTAGACTTTCAAAGGAAAATATATCAATATGGGAAAAAAGATACATGCGGTGGGGTGTGGTTGGGGTGGGGTCGGGGGAGACAGGGGTACCAAGAAAGCCAACTAGAAGCAACTAGTATGTGCAACTCTCACAGAGAGGGTGTGAGTAAATATAGCACTTTCAACTAAAGTGGAACAGAACTGTGAGTAAATATAGCACTTTCAACTAAAGTGGAACAGAACTGTGAATAAATATAGCACTTTCAACTAAAACATCTAGGTACATGCATGGGGACTAATCAAGGAAACAACTCAACCTATGGAGAATGGAGAAAAGCAAGGCAAGACAATGGTCCACCTGGGAGTGACATGAAGCCAGGGGAACCTCCTCCATCCAAGTAAGTGGCGAGTGAATCTGCAACCTGAGAACCCGTGCTTCTTCCACAGATCTTTGCAATCCTCAGGTCAGGAGATCTGCTCATGAACCCTCTCCACCAGGACCTTCAGTCTGACACACAGAGCTACGTGGAGTTTTGGCAGAGCAGACACTTAGGCACATGAGGAGATGGGAAAGACTTTGATACACAGGCTCTCCAGGCTTCCTGGCAAAAGCAGCTGCAACTCTGGCAAAACAGGAGTTCAGACCCTTGTACATACCCCTAAGAAAGGGGATCAATCCAGAGGGCTGAGCAGCGATAGTCTGCATGCCCCACTTTGATGGCACCTCACAGGATAAGACCCAGTAGCTTAGAATTCCAGCCAGCCACCTGTATCTGGCATTGTACCTCCCTGAGATGGAGCTTCCAGGGGAAGAGGTGAGCCATCATCTTTGCTGTTTGGGTGACTTAGCTGTTACAGGCTTAGGACTTTGGGGAGTCCAAGCCAACTAGGGGCAGAAGCAGTCCCCCAGTACAGCTGCTCTACAAACGCGGCCAGATTTCTTTTTTAAGCAGGCCTCCAATACAATTCCTCCTCACTGGCCAGACCCAACCAGGGTCTCCGGCCACCTCCACTGGTGTTGTTCGGCTGAGAGAAATTTGAAACCTCCCTGGGACAGAGCTCCCAGCGGGAGGGGAGGACCGCCACCTTTGCTGTTTGGGCAACTTAGCCATTTCAGCCTCTGTGCTTTGGAGAGTCCAAGCTGAGCAGGGGTGAAAGTGGTCTCCAGCACAGCACAGCTGCTCTATGATAACACGACCAGCCTGCTTTTTAAAGTGGGTCCCTAATGCCATTCTTCCTCACCTGGTGGGACCTCCCAACTGGGGTCTTTACTCATCTCCTACAGGTGTGTTTGGGCTAGCAACAAATTTGTATCCCCAGACAGAGCTCCCAGAGGGAAAGGCAGGCCACCAGCTTTGCAACTTTGCAGCCTCATTGTTGATACCTGCAGGAACTGGAAAATCTGAGGTGAGTAGAGACTAGAGCAGGCTCCCAGCATACCACAGCAGCCCTATGGAAAAGTGACCAGACGGTTACATGGTGCCTGTTCCCATATCTCTTCACTGGGCAGTTCCTCCAGGCTTGGACCGTCAGCTATCTCCTGCCAGAGCTATAGAGCCAAGAACAGCTTGTCAACTTCCTGGACAGGGCCGCCAGGTGCAACTGAAAGCCTCTCTGCCACTGCCTCTGCAGTGAAATCTCTGCCTCTGCATTTGCTATCCTCAGACTAACAAAGAAGCAAAGATCTTAAGGGTCTTCTCCACACCTATAATAAGCTGCAGTCAACCCAAGGAGAGGAAGCCAGTCTATCTCCCATGGGTTCCAACCCTACCCCACTGCTTGTCACCAGACAGAGAACTCCTGGCTTAGGCCCACAGCACGAACCCTCCATCCTGGGCTCATTGCACTGAGCAATTGCTGACCTGCATCTCTCTAAGGGGGAGCCCCTAGGTGACAAGCAAAAGACCTTGGCCACAACCACCACGAAGTTCCTTTCTTCTGCTGCTGTCACACTGGGGAAGGGACATAATACTGAGATTACCCCAGAGCTGCAGTGGACAGCCCAGGCATGCCAAGCTGTGATCTACATCCAGTAATCAAGGGGGAGAAACCCACCCTTTCAGATAATTGAGAGGAAATATGACTGCAACTTTTAAGAAACACAGGGGAGTCACACAACCAAGCAAGGGTCTACCAACTGGCCAATACACCTAAGTGTCACCTATTGGCTCATTCCCCAAAGGTTCAACATCAAAAACACCTTGCTAATATGCCCCCTCTGAAACCAAAGACAAGAAGTCAGCTTCAAATAAAGACCTGCACAAAGCCTCAGCCCTGTGAAAACAACCAGAAAATAAATTTATTGACTGTACTCAATCTATGCTGCAGTTAAAGAAACACCCATATGCAGAGATGAGAAAGAATGAATGCAGGAACACCAGTAACTCAAGTGGCCAGTGTCGTATGTCCTTCAAACAACCACAGCAGTTCTTAACAAGAGTTCTTAATCAGGCTGAGGTTGCTGAAATGACAGAAATATAATTCAGAATGTGCATAGGAATGATCATCAAGATACATCAGGATGGCAAAACCCAAGCCAAGGAAACTAAGAGTCACAATAAAACAATACAGGAGTTGAATGATGAAATAGCTAGTAAAAGAAACAACCTACTCACACCAGTTAGAATGGCGATCATTAAAAAGTCAGGAAACAACAGGTACTGGAGAGGATGCGGAGAAATAGGAACACTTTTACACTGTTGGTGGGACTGTAAACTAGTTCAACCATTGTGGAAGTCAGTGTGGCGATCCCTCAGGGATCTAGAACTAGAAATACCATTTGACCCAGCCATCCCATTACTGGGTATATACCCAAAGGATTATAAAACACGCTGCTATAAAGACACATGCACACGTATGTTTATTGCGGCACTATTCACAATAGCAAAGACCTGGAACCAAGCCAATGTCCAACAATGATAGACTGGATTAAGAAAATGTGGCACATATACACCATGGAATACTATGCAGCCATAAAAAATGATGAGCTCATGTCCTTTGTAGGGACATGGATGAAGCTGGAAACCATCATTCTCAGCAAACTATCGCAAGGACAAAAAACCAAACACCACATGTTCTCACTCATAGGTGGGACTTGAACAATGAGAACACATGGACACAGGAAGGGGAACATCACACACCAGGGCCTGTTGTGGGGTGCGGGGAGGGATAGCATTAGGAGATATACCTAATGTTAAATGACGAGTTAATGGGTGCGGCACACCAACATGGCACATGTATACATATGTAACTAACCTGCACATTGTGCACATGTACCCTAAAACTTAAAGTATAATAAAAAAAATTTTTGTTCAAAATTACCACATACATATTAACACCATTTATTTATTAGTGTATAGGACTATATCTCTCTATCTCTAGAATGTTATTTTTTATTCTTTTTTATATTTAACTTTTACATAACATTCTTACATTTGGATGGCTGTTCTTTAATTATATAATTTTATGCAATCATAACAGCTTCATGTCTTCTTATAAAACATAGATTTTTAATATGAATTGTGCTTTATTCTTAAATATTTAATGTACTCTTAGGAAGAAGTTATACAGAGTATATTCTATTCTCTGTGTTACCTGTGTTAAACAGTCTCATGTTGGTTGTTTAGGGATAATGGTAGGATAGAGTTTGGTTGTGCATAGCCAAAAAAAAAAAAATATGCTTCCCAAAAATGTAAATAACATTAAAATCACTCATATTTGCCTGGGCCCAGTGGCTGACGCCTGTAATCCCAGCACTTTGGGATGCCGAGGTGGGAGGATTACCTGAGGTCAGGAGTTCAAGGCCTGCCTGGCCAATATGGTGAAATCCCATGTCTACCAAAAATACAAAAATTAGCTGGGCATGGTAGCACACGCCTGTAATCCCAGCTACTTGGGAGGCTGAGGTAGGAGAATTGCTTGAGCCTTGGAGACGGAGGTTGCAGTGAGCCGAGATTGTGCCACTGCACTCCAGCCTGGCCAACAGGGTGAGATGCTGTCTCAAAAAAAAAAAAAAAATCACTCATATTTATTAAGAAAGCCTGGAGCTAGACAGTCCAGGTATGTTATTGTTGCTTCCTGGTGTCATCAGAGATTGTGTAGTAAATAGTTTAACCTTACTCAAAGAGAGGTCTATTCTTTTTCCTTGGTTCCTAGGCAGAAATCCCTAAATCCTTAGAATATCCTGCCTGATGAAAGTCTGTTTCCCTGGGGAGTTTGGGCCAGCTATATATAACAGCGTGGTTTACAGTGAGATATATATACAGGTTGAGGACCTTAGGCTGGACCAGATAGTAACAAGACGATTTAGGATGCTGGCTTTGGGTCACAATATCAGTTGACTTCCAGAAGAGCTGGAGACGGAGGTCAGAAACATGGGTGATCACCAAGATTCACATGATAGACTCTAGACACCAAGGCTCTGCTGAGCTTCCTGGTTAGGCATAATCTGTGCATATTGTTACACTTTGTTGATAGGAAATTAACATTGTCCACAACTCCAAGGGGAGATGACAACTGTAAGTTGGAAGCTAGACTCTCTGTGTTTGGAACTTACTTGGGCTTTCTCTTATGTGCCTCTTCCCTTGACTTTATTTAGTCCTTTAACTGTAGTATTACCATAACCATAAGTAAAAGAGCTTTAGTGAAGTCTGAGAGTTCTAGCAAATTATCAAACCTAAGAGTGGTCTTGGGCAATCCTGAGATTTGCAGTTGGTGTCAGAAGTAAGAGTGTTCTTGTGGATTATTCCTCTAATTTGGCAGGGACCCAGTTTCTATTTTTTGTTCTTCCCAAGGAATGGCTTCTATCCTCTAGTTTACTTTATGATCCAAGGTGGATGCTAGAATCCCAGACATTGTATCATCGTTTAAGCCTGAAAGAAGTAGCAAAGGTATTGTGGCAAGGAACAAACATTGTTCCTTTTTCTATACTTACTTTGTATATAACAAAAAATATTACCATCTGTATAACAAAACTATTTATATGAACTTTTTCATTGTTGTATTCATGGACAAATGACATCAAGACATATTACCCTTGCTTTAAAATAAAACAAAGCCATTCATCTCGTTACTTGTTCCCAAAACATGACATACAAAATCATTCTTTAAAAAATTGTTTTTGTAGTTGTCATCTGCATACATCTGAGAGAGACTCTACCATGTTTTGCTCATTTCAAATAACTCTGTCTAGCATTTCTTTGATATGAAGATCTATTTTTAATTTTATTCACCCCTAACACAGAGGGGAAGTACCTATCTTCACTGACCCAAAGCTTGGTAAACTTGCTCTATGCAGCCCTCCTAGAAATTCTAAACATCATATTTAGTTACAACTCTGGCTGAGACTCAGTCACATGGCCACACTTAGCTACAAAGGAACTTGGGAAGTATTTTCATTCAGGTGACAACATATCAAGTAAAAGTCAAAATTATGTTCCTTAAAGAGAAAGGGCACATAAAGCTTGGGTTAGATAGCTAGTGATCTCTGACACATGGTCTACAAATAGTCTCTTTAATGTAACATAAGGAATATATGTAAATAAACTGAGAAATAAAAAGTATTTTTATAATACCATTTTGATTATGGAAATAAAATATTTCAATATTGGACACATGGTTTTAAGAATCAATTATATAAAGTTACCCAATAAAAATATAAACAAAAAGACTCATACACAAATCTGCAGTATTATTCATAATAGACAAAAACTGGAAACCATCCAAATGTCTGTCAGCTAGTGAGATGTTTTAAAAATATGGTAAATTCAACAATGGAATACTATTCATCAATGAAAGGGAATGAACCACTGATTTTAAAATAACATGGATTTATCGCAAATCACTATGCTAAGTGAAAAAGCCATACAAAATACCGTTGTGCATGATTTCATTTACATGGAATCTCCAGAAAAGGCAAATGTGTAATGACAGAAAGCAAAACGAAGGCAACAAAAAGGCATAAGTAAATTTTTTGGAATAATGGGCATATTCCTAAAATTTGATTGTGATAATGATTACATGATCCAATAAAAGTTCTAAAAGTCTTGAATTATATTCTTACAAGTGAATTTTACAGTACATAAATTTTGCTTCGATAAAATTATTTTTAAATAAATTAATTATGTGAACTTTCAAGGAATATGTATCTAGGAACTTCCCAACCAAAAGGACAGCCCTGTAAAAGTGAGTGTTCTATAGCAGTCATATGCAGTGATTCTTAAGTCTACTTGAGGACCCCTCTATATTATAATTCTATAATGAAGTTTATTACAGATAAAAATTCTTGTATCTTATCCTGCCATCCTATGTTGGAGCCAGATAATCTTCATTTTAATGAGCTATTGAAGCAATTATTTTTCACACTAACATTTGAGAACAGCTGGTCAAAAGAGATAGGTAATGTGGGTTAAGAATGTAGTACACTGAGGATTTGGGTTAGGAATAGATGGAAAGTTGAACATTTTTAAGCTCAACTAGGATTTCATTTTTACAGCATGATGCTATTATTAGTGTCAAATATAAAGAAAATAATAAATCTCTTCATATAAATAGAAATGAATTACTTTCAAGTTTCAGAACCAAAATATCTTATAAAATAATATAAATCTATAAAATAATGTAAAGGCCTAGAACAAAATAAATACTTTGATTCAATGAAGGAAATATCAACAAAAGGAAGAAAGGAATTTTGGGTGGGGCTGAATGGGATTTAATTATAATATGCCAAATGGAATTTCTTTAAGTTGTTGACATAGTTCCTTTTTTAAATGTCAGAAATGTAATAAAAATATTCTAAATGCAGAAAAACAAGTTAATGACAATATAAAGAAATACTAATTTTTGTCTGAGCTCTAGGGAGAAATATGATACTGGGTGGTTTCAAAATAGGAAATTAGTTTAATCAAGATTAAGAGGTCACAGTAGTGACGCTGTTGTAATACTAGATACATCATCTGCTTCAAAAGGCAGGGACAGTACATCCATTTTTGCAGAGAAACTTGTCAGTTCAAAGAAGGTAAAGAGAACAGATATTAAAATATAATAACCATGATTTAATCCTGAATGACTGAATAAATGATGGTAATTTAGAAAGTGATTAAAAATGAGGTATGGAGTTAAAGAGCTTTGGGGAGCAAAAATAATTATCTCTCAAATAAAATCAGTGACAAAGAGGGTTGCTATTTTTCATAGAAAATTCTACATTATTCCGGAGAACAGAGAAAATAACAAGCAATTTCTTAGCACCAAAAAACATCACTTAAAAAGTTCTTTGCTTGAAATAGCAATTAGTAAGACTAATTATTACCTCAAAATGATACAGAGAAACCTAAAGTGCTCAGAGAAGGCATCTCAAATTATTTGGATTCTTACACTTGGAAAAAATGAGAACTTAAATGGGTAAGTTTACTTGCTTATTTCCTCATTCTGTAAAATGTAGCTGGGAATATAACCTTCTTCAAACTATTTTGTGAGGATAAAGTTATATGACATGCAAAGTACTTAGCACAACTAGCTACCCTTAAACAAAGGATAGTCATTATTATTATTCTTATGATGACTATTCTAAGGTAATCTAAGGACATCTAAATAAAAAGACAACTCAATACATTTTTATTCACCAAATTTGAAGACATTACAAATAGCAGTCATTCTCTAAATGTCGTTTTGAGAGGTTTATCTCCCAGCAACTTTGAGCTGTCTTTAGTTTCCAGCACCACTGATTCATGCTTCTCTCTGGTTTTAATCACATTTTTTTCCTCTGCTTGGAATTTCCATTTCTTCCTTTATCTTCCCCTACTTCTAACTGCCTAGCTTCACCTCGAGTTTTCTGACTAGCTTGAAAACCTGTGGCCCCACTAGTACTAGTTAAGTGTTCCTCCTAAAGGGATCCTATAATACTTTTTGTGTAATTTTACCAGTTTTATCACTCTTTCATAACAATGTTTATGTTAGCCAACTGTCTTAAAAACAAAAGATGCTGTTTTGTCTCTGTATCTCTTTGTCAGAATAGAGGCTGGGTTTATCATAAGTGCTTGGTAAATATTATTTGGATTTAATTGGCTTAAATCAGTATATTAAAGCTGTGATACACATTAAAACTATTAATAGGTTCAAGAAGCATTTGAAAAATACATAGATGGAGGACTTATAAGAAGTGGATAAAGCAATACAGATATACTTAAAGATTATTATCATGGAGAACATTGCCCTCTAGGCAAATGCCCCATCATCAGTGGGTTGGTAATATTTAATTAAATAAACCATGGGCCACTTTCATTCTGGTAATTCTTAAGTTCTGGTTTATACTTATTCTTCTTTCTTTACTCTCTACTAATTTCTCATTCATTAGCCAAAGGCAGTAATATTTAAATAAATGTACTTAGAATTAAATAATCCCTTGATTTGTAAAATAAACATTTTCGTTGGCAATCTTTAATTGTATAAGAAATTATTCTTGTTCTTACAACTTTCAATCCTTAATTTTAAATATAGATTGTGTCCAACAAAATGTGAAACTTACAAAGTGACTTACTACTCAAATAATTTGCATTTTTAGTACGAATTTGAATAGCAAACTGAAGGTTTCCTTCTTTCTTTACAAAAATTCTTTTGAAAATATTTTCCATTTATTTGGTGTTGAAAGCAATTAAATTTATACTACCTTTCAACTCAACAGGTATGTATCTATTGATTAAGGAAAATGTAATTACAATATGATCTCTGAATTTATGTAATGTTCAACCTAGAGGGGAAGACCTTCATTCATTGACATGTTATTTTTGTCCCTGAAAAACAAATTTGCAGGGGTCTTCAATGGAAGACATTTATACTGAAAAAAAAAAAAACTGAAATAGATTCAAAACAAGAACTCAGGTGGCTTTAAAGGGAAAAGCTGGATGAAGAAAAACCAGTTAGATAATTATTGTAAATTATTGTAACAAAGTAAGAAAATATAGAATTCAGAAATAGGTTAGTGGCTATATTCTTTAAGAATAGGAGCTTCATTTTTTAACATTACATAGCACCTAATAAACTGCCTTGCATAAAATCAGTGTTTAAAAAGTATTTCTTGATAGAATATAATTTTAAGGAATTTCCTCATATCCTAGTTTTATATTCTCTTTTCAGTATATGATAGGACTTAAGATGCTATGAATTCAATTTTAATCTCTTCATATTTTTTAGGTATTAAGAATAGATTCCTTGAAAGTATGAGTATATTAACTCATGTACATTATTGAAAGAATGTGGATTCTCAGTATAAATTTAAATACAAAGCTTAGATTGCAAACTCAAAAAGCTTAAAGTATCATGGAGAAATAATTTGCTACAGCTGCTATATATTTAGAACTCAAAACTATCCATGAGAATAGCAACAATGATATTTAAAATATTTTAGGAAATGAAGAATATTTTCCTCACTTTTGCTGTTGTAAGAAATATAGACATCGCACTACTGAATAACTGATTGCAAAAATTCTTTTCTGTGTATATATACTGTCTTTTCTCTATCTTTTCTGTTTTTTTTTCCTATTTTATTCATTATTTTAAAACAATCTTTGTAGGATGCAAAACTATAAGTCTTTATTTTAGGCTCCATGTTAGAGGCTGAGTTTATTTTTCTCTTTGATGTTTGAATTGAAAGATTATTCCCTGGAATTCCAAAAAAAAAAAAAAAAAGTTGGAGCAGCTATGCAGACCTCACCTCATGGTGGTTTGAATGATTTCCTTTATCTGTCTCCTTACTGCCAATATCTCATACTTGTCCATTGTAGATAAGAGCAAGTGGGATTTCAGTTTGGATATTATTGAATAGAAGCTGTCAGAAAGAATTTGAACAGTTCAGCACTCCTGAAATGTTGTATTACCCTCTTTCTAGTCCTCATTATCTACACTTCCCACATCTACGCATTGGCATCTGTGGCCCAATTCTAAAGTAGGCTGTTTCTGCTTCCTGTGAAGTTTTTAGCAGCAGAAATATCATCTACAATTCTGTTACTACTCCCAGCATAATTTTTTTTCAACCAAGAACTCCTGAGAGTTTATTATCTAAGGAAAGTATATCATTCTACCTTTTATTTATTTTCACCCTTTTAACTTCTCTTTTAATTTTGTTTTACACTTGATTTTTGTCAAGGTTGTGACACTAAATCATTAAGCTTCAGCTACAAGGAGATCTTTAAGATAAAGATCAAAGGCAAATATGAAAAATCCCAATAGTGAAGTGTCTCTTCAGTAGGGAACACAAAATGTTGTATTATTAACACCATACACATGGTAATAATTAATTACATCTAAAATGAAAAGTGGGAAATCCCTTGCCAATGGAAATCTGAACTTGCATATTAATTTCCTAGAGAATCCATGGAGGTTTTTAAGCAAAGCAACGTATCTTCAGCATTTCTTAGAAAAAAAAAATGGAATGGATCTTTCTTAAGCTGAAATATTGCTCTAATAAATAAGGCTCAATTGTTTTGGCATCGTTAACTGAAAACCATCATTACAATCTAAGTTTGTCTTGCATCAAAGAAAAATGTTACATTATTTTGAGAAATAAATTTTCTCAATCAAAAGGTTCTTGGGAACTCTAAAAGTTAAGTCTGACTCTTGTTGGTCTGTAATTGTATCTGCTCTGTCCTCATGAAATCTGTAGTCTCAAGACTGATAGAGAGGATGTATATCCTATTACATTTTAAAACTCCAACATCATCAAAGTTATAAAAGATTTAAAATAGTTATTTTATATTCAAGGACTTGATATAAAGACATATTCAGTAATACATACAGTACATTTTATTTTCCAACACAATTATAAAAAGATGAAATGTTTGTATAATGAATATATTAATGCACTTTGATTATTATATTATTATTATTATTATTATTATTGGAGACAGGGTCTTGTTCTGCTGCCTAGGCTAGAGTGCAGTGATGTGACCATGTCACACTGCAACCTCAACCGCCTGGGCTTAAGTGATCCTCCTGCCTCAGCCTCCTGAGAAGCTGGGGCTACAGGTGCACACCACAATGCCTAGATAACTTAATTTTTTTTGTAGAGACAAGGTCTTGCTATATTGACCAGGCTGGTCTCGAACTCCTGGGATCAAGCAACTCTCCTGCCTTGGCCTCTCAAAGTGCTGGGATTACATACATGAGTCACCACACCTGGCCTTTTATGGTATTTTAAAAGGAGATTTATAAACTATAACCAGAGTCAAACGGTCTTCAAAGATAGAGAATTTTCTAAATTTAAAAAAAAAAATTTAAATTTTTAAAAAATTGGTGAAAGTAGCATATATTTATGATGTACAGTATAAATATACACAGTATATTTTATGTTGATTTATAGAAAATGGAAAACTACATTAGTTTTCTTTCAGAAAACTGCTTAAATTTATGGTAAGCATTATCATATGTAGAGAATGATGCTATCAAGTTCTTCATAGTTGTGTTTTCTACTTTGTCTAATTAAATGCCAGTAGGATTTTAGAAAAAATAATTCTTAAAACATGTGGCCCTTTATCTTGTTACATTTACCTTTTACATTGACTTTTTACTCTTTTTTAAGCATGAATGAAATTACTTAAGTTATTACAGATCAAGGAATTACTGCTAAAATATGTTTGTTCAGTTGGATTCTGAAAATTACTATGAAATATTCAGAAAATAGAGCATTAAAATCAGCTTTCAATTCAAAGCCTCACTAAAATAAAGTTCACCTAGCACAAAATATAGGGAAATTTAAATTATTTATCAAAAGGTTGAAAAGAAAGAAAGAAACCTTTATTTAGAATTGTTTTGCCATGATTAGCTGAAAGCCACCATTAATATTTAGGTGTTGTTTGGAAAAGATGAATGCTGATACATTTTCCGTAAGACCTTTTTGGGACATATTCATGATGGAATTTTATTTCTCTCTCTCTCCCTTACTCTCTCTCTCTCTCTCTCTCTCTCTGTGTGTGTGTCTCTCTCTTTGTCTCTCTCTCTCTCTCTTTCACACAAACACACACACACATACACACTAGGAAGAAATAAAGGCTAGTAGTGTCACAAAGAATACAGAAATGTCCTGAACAGACACTTCTCAAAAGAAGACATACAAGTGGCCAAAAAAAATATGAAAAAATGTTCAGTATCACTAATCATCAGAGAGAAGCAATTCAACACTACAATGGAATACCATCTCACACCAGTCAGAATGGCTTTTGTTAAAAAGTCAAAAGACAGCAGGTTCTGGTGAAACTGTGGAGAAAAAGAATGCTTATACACTGTTAGTGGGAATATGGTTTCAGCCACTGTGGAAGCAGTTTGGAGATTTCTCGAAGAACTTAAAACAGAGTTACTATTTGACCCAGTAATCCCATTAGTGGGTATATACCCAAAGAAGAATAGATCATTGCACAAAAAAGGTACATGCACTCCTATGTTCATCACTGCACTATTCACAACAGCAAAGATATGTAATCAACATAGGAGCCCATCAATGGTGGATTAAAGAAAATGTAGTACATATACACCATGGAATACTATGCAGCCATAAAAAAGCAGGAAATCATGTCCTCTGTAGCAACATGGATGGAGCTGGAGGTCATAATCCTAAGTGAATTAATGCAGGAACAGAAAATCAAATACCACACGCTCTAACTTATAAGTGGGAGCTAAACATTGAGGACACATGGACACAAACATGAGAACAATAGACAATGTGGACCACTACAGGAGGGAGAGAGGAGCGTGCGCATTGAAAAACTACCTCTTGGGTACTATGCTCACTACCTATGCTCACTACCTGAGTGCAATATACCTAGGTAACAAACCTGCACATGTACCTCTGCATCTAAAATAAAAGTTGAATCTTTTTTTTTTAAAGAAATGTTCTGACAGGTGTAGGTACCTGAATATATTTACTGATAAAAATTTTTTTATAAAAATCTATGATCAATCAGCCTATACATATATGGCAGATACTGAACAGGTAAACTCAGTGCCTTTAATGTTTTTCATTTTATATTTTAAAAATCTGAGCTTTGAATAAGAATTTTATATACATAGGTTCAGGTTAATCAAAACTTTCTTCCATGTAACTACAACATCCATATGTTTAAACTTTGCCCTTAATTTTGCCTAAATCCCTATTTACAATATTACACATTTTTTTCTTAACTTCTGCATTATTTATTCCTGAAATTTATAGATAATTGCTAAGTATTATTGACATATTTTGGATTATAATAGAACATTTATTTAAATTTGTACTAGAACCAGCTTAAATATCATTCAGCTAATTATCACATTAGTTATTGAAGACTCCAAATGCCTAGTTTTTCCCCTGTGGAATAGGAGAACATGTTTTCAGTTTGGCATTCTGGCCTTCGCTTACCCCTATGTTCCTCAAATTCCTAGTAATACCACATTTCTGGTTCCTCTGACTTCTCAAGGACTATACTGTTGCTCTCTTCCGGCTTTCAGATGTTCTCATTCCCTCACTGCCGTCTTTTCTCTCTTCTTCTGGCTCCTGTTTGACTACAAAATTGCATAAATCTCGATCTCGGCTAAAAACATCTTTCCTTGACTTGAAGGTGGTTTTCACTGTTTTGCCTCTTTTCTTTTCATCTCGAACTTTTAGAAGGCATATAAACTCAGAAATCATTACTCACACCATTCTCTCCTTGATCTTCTGTGATGTTGATTTTGTGCATGTGACTGAATCCAAATTGTTTTTCTTGTCTCAATTTCTGCTTTCTCAAGTTCTCTGACTTACGCCACAGTATACTCTCACTCAGAGAATTTGCTATGCTTATTTCCTATACCTTAATTACAATTAGCTCTTTTGACAAAAAAGAGCCCAATATATAAAAGGAATATATTATGTTTGTGTGTATATTTTGCACATATAATGACACACCTTATGTTCCTTAATATATAAAAAAAATTCCAGTAACATTTCTTATACTATTATAATTTGGGCATAAGTTTGGCTTAAGACTGTTTATCTATTGACGTATGTCTGGTTAGCTTATCTTTGGCTTCTCTTGCCTTTATTCCTTCTATTTTTCTTCCACACTCACGGCCTCAATTCTCACGCCTATTAATCTATTTTCTGGCCCATACATGTCTTTGTACACTTCTTTCTAGGAATTATTTCAGCACTTCAAATTCAATTAGAGAACATTAGGGCATTTCCTTCCCTCCCAAACCTGTCAATGCTCCCTTCTTTCGTATTTCGTTAAGAGCACCACCGAATTAGGGGGACACTCAGATACAAAGACAAATACTCAGAGTAAATCCTGCTTGCCCCTGTTTCTCGAGTATAATCATCTATGAACTCTGTTGGATTTAGTCCTAATTTTCAGATAAATCTCTACTTCTCCATTGTCACCTTTTTCATTTAGGGCTTAATTCTCAATTAAAATACTTTTTCAGAGCCTTAACTGATATTTTTACTTCCATTCTCTTTTCCTCATTAGTCTCTCATATGTAAAATTATCTCGATAAAAATATAGTGTTATATATTCTGATACAAATCTTGAAATATGTAAACCAGTATATTCTCTTTGTACTTTTGCAGCACTTGAACTCCTCTCTGTGGGAGGAAATACATATTCTGAAATATCAGAAAATTTGAAATGTGTCTGCATTTTTATGTGGACAACAACAGAATAACTGATATGGGGACTGTCTTTAAATATCTGAAAAAAAAATAATGTCTGACAGCTAGCCAGTTCTTACTCAGTGTCCCACATCTATTTAGAGTAAGGGCTAGATGGGTTCTATTGCTATCCCTGTTTATGTGAGTAAACTTCAGCTTGAAGAAGTTAATGACTTTCCCACAGCCCTCATCCTATTAGGCTGTGAAACAAGGATTATAAATAAATGACTCTAATTTTAGAGCCCTCACTTATGTTTGATATTTTATAGCCATGTCACTCAGTAAGTCTCTGTTGAAGAAATTCAAATGCTACATGGAAGAAGATTGTAGGAGCATCAGACTTAATAGGAAAGATAAGAAGATGTTCAGATTTAGATTCATTAAGCTTATGAATGAATGTGCTGTGGATAGTCTTTTAGAAAGAAACCCTATCAGTAAAAATAGATACTTTAATGTTATTCCGTTAATATTACCATCTTAATTTATCATAGAATAAAACCTCTAAACATCAGAAAAGCTGAAATAATCAAATATGAACTATAGCAAACTCTGAAATAAGAGTGCTCACTATAAGCAATGAAGAAATGAGGAAGTAATAAGAGGGCATAGTACCTATGAATGAAAAAAAGAATTAAACACAGAACTAAAGTCAACATGTATGCCAGGTGGACCTCTCTAGAAGTATCAAAACTGCGGAAGAAAAAAAAGGAGCTTAAATATCTAGTAGGTCCTCATTAAATGATGCTCAACATTACTAATCACTAAGGAAATGCAAATAAAGAGAGTGAGATACCACTTCATACCCATTAGGATGACTAGTATCAAGTCAGAAAATAACACATATTGGCAAGGAGTGTCAATATATTGGAACTCTTGTGCACAACTGATGATAATATAAAATGGTGCAGCCACTGTGGAAAACAGTATTTCAGTTTCATAAAATATTGAAAACAGAATTACTATATTATCCAGAAATTCCACTTCTGGATATATACTCAAAAGAATTGAAAATAGAGTATTGAAGAGACATCTGCATTTCAGCATTTATACCAGCATTATTCACAATAGCTAAAAGGTAGAAGATACCCAAATATTCATCAATGGATAAATAAATAAGAAGAATGTACTATGTACATACTGTGCAATGGAATATTATTCAACCTTAAAAGAGATGGAAATTTTGACACATGCTACAATATGGATGGACCTTGAGGACACAATGCTAAGTGAAATAAGCCAGTCACAAAAAAACCCCGCAAATACTGTATGATTCCATTTACATAAGGTATCTAGAGTAGTCAAATTCATAGAGATAGAAAGTAAAACAAGGACTACCTGGGGCTGAGGGAAGGAAGGAATGGGGAGTCGTTTAATGGCTATAGGGTTTTAGTGTCATAAGATGAAAAGAGTTCTTGAGATGAATGGTGGTGATGTTTTTGCAACAATAATAATGTACTTGATGCCATTGAATGGTACACTTAAAAAGGGTTAAAATGTAAATTGTATATTTATTTTATCACAATAAACAAAATTGAAAAAAAATAGTGGGCCTTAAGCAAAGGAAGCAGAAATTGTCAGCCACAAAACACTTCCTGCTATATCAAATTATTCCTTATGAGTCTATTTTTTGGTTACTAATCTGACAAAACAACCAGAGCAATTAGTATGTACAGACTCAGGCCTAACTTGTCAATAAAAACTAGATTATACTTTATTTTCCTATAAAATGAAAAATTGATACATTACAAGATGATTTTTATCTTGATAGATTTTTCCCTTTTTTTAAGGAAACAGGCAAAATGGTAATATTAATGCTAAACAGACATTACTTAAAGTTATAAACAACTTTCTGTAACTCCTTTTATGACCAATTATAGTTACATTTGTAGAAATTTTTTAATGAGTGTCATAGCTAATAATTGTAGTCCCCCTCATCTGATCTGGTATTTTTTTTTTCCTTGAGCTCCACTGAAATATAGTTGTGAGAGAGTATTAAGACACATATGCATGCACTTCTGGAAAAAAAAAAGTGGCTATTATATGCAAAGACAGAAAACTGGAGCTACTCCTATTCCTTTCCAGGAACATTATATGTTATCTGATGGCTCATCACTTCTGAAAAACCCAGGGGTAAAAGCACCAGACAGTTTAAAAGATCTCTGGTATATTCTCCAGACACCAAAAGGATTTATTACATGCAAATTTCCATTAGTGCTAATGGGAGTTATTATAAGTGATTCATACTTTACATATATAAACTAAAAGGTCTTTTCTATTTTGCTCACATTGAATGAATCTTTTGATTTACAAAATTATAGAAAAGGTGAGGAATAAGCATCAATATTTTAAATATTTAAAAAGTAACTATGGGTGAAATAGTGCTCTTTATAGTCAAATAATTTCAAATGTTAATTTTTAAATTCCCAATAGTATGGCCTTAGCATTGCTTTCTCACTCCTCCTAGTGTGTAGTTAGGTAGTGCAGACCAATATTAATATTAGATTGATATACTGCTGTTATTAGTCATATAATACATGACAAAGCCAAATAAAAAGAAGGTTTTCTTGGTACCTTAACTTTGAGTATAATTGAAAGCAAATTATCCTATCTTACAATCACACCATTATTTATTGGGAAACTTCAAGGTACTGAACTATATTATCTAGGATAAAAGCTTTGATGTCTTATTGGAGAAGCATATGATTTGGTAGAAAAATATGTTAGTTGAAATATGAATGCAAGTTTCCTTTGCTTCTATCCCCAATATTGTCATAATCCTAAGGCCTTGCTTCTTTGAATTAGATAAGGCATTATGCATGATCCGCTCCAGGAAGAAATGATGCAAGAGAATACAGAACAGAAAAAGTTATTTCTTCTATTTCTGAATTTCAAAAGCCTAGAATTCCAAGGAATCATATAAAGGGCTCATAAGCAGGGTCAGGTGGTATTGAAAAATGATGATGTATCAAAACAAGATTTTCCACTCCTGAGACTAGATAACAGGCTCCGGGGGCAGGAAAAATGAAGGCAACTGAGGAGAGTTAAATAATCACCTGTCACTGAGCACAGGGTTATTACTCTGTCAGGTCTCTGTCAAGGATTGAGTGAATATAAGGAGAATACTCACTTAGGTTTAGAAATTAGACAATGGATGGAATCTGCACCTACTTTCCCTATAGAGTCTGGGTAGCCTGGCAGGTCTCCAGAACAGAAATATTGGCAGGTGTACCTAGAAAAGTAAGAATTAGCTCATGGGATCTCCTTGGCTCAATATGATGCAATTTTAGAATGTTCTCTGAGTTTCTAAAAGGAGGTCCAAAAGTATTCAAGAGATAATACATTAAAGGAAAGCTGAAATAGCAATGGATTGAACTGACTTAAAGCCAAAGATTAAGTAAAAAATAAAATTCATCAAAGGGTGTCCAGAAAAGTAGAAGTGACAGAATTTGACAGGAAGAGGCAGATTACACCACCTCAAAGTCTTGAAGCCCCCAAAAGCCCTGTAGTGTTTATGTTGCAACTAAGAGGTAAGGAGAGGACAATTAAAACTTAGCCCAAATTAAGTTTCCTCCTAATGCTGAGTGAGAGACCCCTAAACTGATAGTGAGTTGTGTTATAGAAAAGTGAAGCTATACATCTCTGCTATCTGAGAAGTCTATCTGCTTCCTATTCATACTACAAAGCAAAACATGATCACTCCATAGTAGGAGTAAAAAATAAGCCTTATGGGAATTTGGAACCATTATACAAGAAGTGTGTAGAGAAATATAAATATTTCCACTTTAACTATTTATGGCATTATTATAACAAAGCAAAGCAACACAAAACAAAAATTTACAAATGTTTTTGATGTGCCAGAAACTGTGCTAAACATTGTAGTTGAAATACAAATAAAGTTTTTCTTCCAAAAGAGCTCAAAATCTACCAATAGAGATAAATATATTATTAGCTCTGGTGCCTTTAAATATACCTTTTAAAATAGGTTGTTGTGGATAGAATACAATTCTCATTATTGGCTATCTCTACAGAATCTGAATAATTACTAGATGGAGATTTTAGAGGATATTCTTGCATGCTGCGGAAGTTTGGACAAGTGACCACTAAGATTCCTCTTTATGATGATATTCTGTGGTTTTATGGTGATAGAATCCTGAAAAATAAGGTTGAAATGCTAGACAATTTATTGCATGTAGATTTATGTTTAAAGCCAGTTAAACCACAAATTATTTGGATTATGCTTACTGATTTTGAAGACTCATTCCCAGCCTTTTTTTTTTTAATTTTTCTTTTCCAATATACATTGGGCTATATTATTCTATTTTTAGTAGTGTTAGCTCATAGAATGAAACTCATTCCCATTTACATTATGTCAATAAATATTTCAATCCCAGAAATAAACAAATCTCTAGAAATTTTGCTCATATAATGGCCTAATGCCAAGTTTATAGTTTTGTTGAGGAGCTTACACATGGCCTTTGTCTAGGTGCAAATAAGCAAAAAAGCTTTTCAGAAAACCAATCATTTTCACAGACTGCAACTTCCAAAATTAATAAAAAATTTTAAGTAATGGTTCAAAATGTATACCGATCTTGATCACATATGCAAAGATGAGTAAAATCAATTTAGCATTAAAGGTACAGGCTGCAGTTTCAGATTAGTAGCTGGCGTAGCAGGCAGACATGGTTTTCTGCAAATTTTCTGCTCTGAGATGAGCATTTGTGATTCAACTATATGGCTTTGAAAGATTTTCATAAAAATTCAAAAAGGAAACTTTATAGAAAAAATAATACATGTTCAATCAAAAAAGCAATACATGGTTTTAAGTTAGATTAAAATGTCTGGTAAGGATTGAAATATACTCTTGTTTTTGGCTTGAATATACAAGATATACCTACATGTTTCATAAATATTGATATTTGCATCATGATGGTGTCTGAGCCAAAGTTCTTATAGAAATAATCTGATGCAATTCAATAAATATTTCAGAGAACTTTGTATTTTTATATATTCTGCTGGGCATGTAAAGGTAAATGACAGAGTGCCTGTCATTAAAGAGTTAATGGTTGAACATGAAGTAGAATACTGACATAATCATATAACACACATACACACTCACATTGTGTGAGTGTGTGTGTATGTATAAGACAAAGCACAGAAATTATGAGTAATAAAGTGAAGTGAAAACCTTAAAAATAAATAAAAGGGAGGTCGGGGGTCAAGTGAGATAGCCTGAATGAAGCTCTTTCATTGGATATACATGACAATTCTACCCTCCTTGTAACTTTCTTTTGTCATTTTTTTAGTAGCCGTGTATCTCATCAGCTATTCCTTTTAGATCCCTTTCTTCGATGTGTTATTAATATCTCTACACACAATCTAAATGTTGGAGAACCTTAGGAATGAATACTGGTGCTTCTTTCTTTACCTCCTATCCTTGGTTTTAAGTTCCATCCATATTCTGACGACTACTTGAATTTTACCCCCACACTATTCCTCCCCCGTTAGGCTGGTATATTCTACTGTCTATAATATTTGGCATCTTCACATGATTTTGTTTCTACTATCTCAAGTATATTCAAATATTAATTAGAAACTTCTTCCCCAATCAGCAAACCCGTTTTCACCACGTTTCCCCATGTCAGTGGATGATGCCAGTGTTCACCATGACTTCAAACCCAAAACTGCGGGAGTAATCATTGAACTCTTTTTACCTCCCATCCTTCAAAACCAAAGCAACATCAAACCATATTGTCTTCCCAAAATATCATATCAACTCAGTTCACTCTATTTCCATTTCTATTATTAGACTGCAAGCCCAAAGCAGGCCAATATATTGATTTCGATTCACAAAAATCAATCTACTTATAGCCAACATGTTAAAATTCAATTGAAGTATTTCTTTAAGAAAATCAAATAACTATTACCAAAATAAATTTGTTAAGTAATCAGTTCACTCACTGGCCAGTTTACTAAATTTCCAAATGATTAATTTACCAAAACTTTGTTTTTCTAAATAAACAAATTTGCTTAAAATCAATTATTTAAAAGCCAAATAATCAAATTACCAAAAATTACCAAAAATGCAAATTCACTCAAACTTTTTTTTTTTTTTTTTTTGAGATGGAGTCTCACTCTGCCGCCCAGGCTGGAGTGCAATGATGCGATCTCAGCTTACCGCAACCTCCGCCTCCTGGGTTCAAGCAGTTCCCTGCCTCAGTCTCTCAAGTAGCTGTGTTTACAGGTGCCTGTCACCACGCCCAACTAATTTTTGTATTCTTAGTAGAGACGGGGTTTCACCGTATTATCCAGGCTGGTCTTGAACTCCAGACCTCGGGATCCATCCACCTCGGCCTCCCAAAGTGCTGGAATTACAGGCTCAAACATTTTTATATTAAATATTTATATAGTTTCTAGCATATTGTTTTACATACATGGTTTCTAGAGGATTTTTGAATTGTAAGATGAGTTGATTCATAATAGTTTTGAGACTGCTGAATTTTACTTACTCCAGTTGTTTGTACTGAATTTGTTGTACTAGTTTACTCAAATGTCTACTTTAAGAGGGGTTCACATTTCAGACTTCAAGAAATCCTCAAATATTCAGCTAATTGAGCTCACAAATGATTATATGACTGAAAATTTATTGAAAAACAGAAACTTATTCTTTCACTTTAAAATCCCAATATTGAATATATGCCACATAACTGTCATTAAAAATGCAGAAGTTATTCTTATTCTCAAATCAGGGAATAGTAGAACAACCAGGCATACACTAAATTTTGGCTTGCTAGAGTAAAATGGATCATAATAAATAAAAATAAACTGGATATAAAAATAGACAAATAAAAACAAATTGACTAAAACATCTCAGAAATTTTTAAAATTAAAATCATTCATATCAAAATATCTCTAAACTTCATGAATACATAACATTTTCTAGTAAATTGATAAATTTGACAAATTAATCATTCAGTATATTTATGAGTTATTTTTTAAGGATTTGGTCATTTTATAATTGATATATGTTTTCCCTTGGGCAAATTGAAATTAAATGATTCATTCACTGTATCTTCTTTGGAGTATTACAATTCTTCCTAACTAGTTTCCATTCTTATTTTGTTCTTGGGCATTCTAACAATTCTATCTCTACCAAGCTGTCAGAAATATCATTTTTAAATTCTATGATGACCATGTTGCTACTCATTTAGAGTCTATTCATGGAGCCCCAATTTACAAAGTAAAATCTAAACTTCTTACCAGAAGCCTTCAGGTATTTTGGTGATTTCACCCCAACTATATCATCAACTTCATCTCATGCCACTCTCCTCTTTTTTACCATCACGTAGTCACCTGGCTTTTAGTCCCACTCCAGAACAAAATTAAATATTTTTGTCTAAGGTCGTGGCATTGTTCTCTGCACCTGAAATGTTCTTTTTCTGGTTCTTCCCTTAGTTGGCCCCTTTTAGTCTAAAATATCACTCCCTTAGATAATCATTGCCATTTATCTATTTAAACTGCCTCTATTATTCTTTACCATAGCAACCTGCTCTTTTCCTTCCAAATTATACTTCCTTCTAGGTTACTTTTATGTATGTATTAGGTGATACATTAATTTTGTATGTAACTCCTTGTAATATAAATTTTATGAGAAAAGCAAACTTGTCTATATAGTTTAATATTGCACTATTGTTGGGTTTAGCACATGGTAGGTGGTCTATATGTATTTATTATTTTACAGAATAAAAGCAATATTATGATATTTGGGACAACAAAAATAATCAGATGGAAATAAGGGAAATTGACTTTTAATATAAAAAATGGATTCTAGAATCTATCATATCAGACCAACATGTTTGATATCAACATAAAAATTCCACAATGGATTATCACATAAATTTGCTAAGATATGCAAAAGTAATATCAGTAGTGATCATCCTTGCTAGAACATATGTAAAATTAAGTTGACTTGCTAAATCCTGATTAGATCTTTAGACCTAGAAAGTGACTGCTGCATAAACAGTGTGTTTTTATTTTAGTCTACACACAGCATAATATAAATAATTTTACATATAAGGTGTAAAAAATAAACACTAATTTATATTATAGGCATTTAGATTCATGGCTACTTGTGCAATCTTCTCAAAAAAAAGAGTATTGATTAATGAAATGTCATTGTAGAGAAACTGCTCTAGTGAAGTATGTCATAGGATTATATTTTGGCTGTTTTTTAATTTTAAAATATCAACAATATTTCTGAAAATGTGTAAAGCAAGCAGATCAATGTTATAAAGCAGTAAGAACTGTTAAATATTGTATGAAAGAATTAGGCTAAAACTATGTGAAAACAGGAGAGAATAATGAGCGAAAAAAAGCAGATAAATTTTGTTAAGAATAAATATAAAAATTTATATTAATGTGTGCAATTAATATAGATATTTGGTGAGGGAAGATTGTTTAGCAGCTCTTTGAGGAGTGGCAGACAGAATGTTTCAGTGGAACTCAAGCTTAACCGGAAGCCACATTATTATGTTTGCAATGGGGAAAGGGGAAGTTAGAAAGGTTCTATTAATAGAATATTATTCAGACAAAGAGAGAGCTTAGTCTCATTTCAATATTCAGGAGTCCGACCACTTTAAACATAGTATATCTAATTCGGACGTTTACATTTTAAATATGAGATTAAGACACAAAAGCTTATCCAAAAGGTAAAAATGCTTGGGAATTGTTATTTAAGCTCCAGGTATATAAATTGTAAGCCAGAAAGCAAAGCAGCCATATGATATGAGAAGAAGGTTTAGACAGATAAATTAAAAATTTTTAAGGGGTTAAATGTTTTGATTTTATTATAGTTAAAAAGTAATTTTTAAATGTTAAACAAAGAAATAATATGAACAATAGTTCCACAGGAAATGGTAGTATTATAATGACAAAAGCTGTCATTTATTAAGCATTTAGGTGGCATGTTTTATAGAATGTAGTTTACATGCATTATTTCATGTCACTCATACAGAATATCTTGGAAAAATCGATATTATTTCCCATGTTATGTAATTAGAAGCACAAAATAATTTCATAATGTTTTCCAAAGTTCAGAGTAAGAACGTAGCAGCATTGAAATTTAAGCCTAAATGTGCCGGATTATCTAGTTTGTTTTTAATATGATAGGTTATTTTTTCCAGATTCTTTACATTATTTATATTTTATGTCTTTGTAATGAATATGGATTATTTTGATGAAATGTGTTTAAACTAAAATAATAAAAATTCAAAAAGTATGGAATTGGCAACCTGAAAGTAAAAGCAGAAAATGATTTGCAAATGGAGAGAGAAACATTTCTGAAGACGAAAAGTGTATTTTTCTCTTAAAATGTTTATATTCATTAATCTTCATTTCATGCATTTTTTGAAGTGACTAAGAGAATATTTTTAATATCCAGCATAAAATAAATATTGTCTTATGTTCTCATAGAAAACAGTTTCAACCTTTGATTATTTAATACACGCCATCCTCAGAAACCTGTCGAGGCTCAACCTTTAAATTAACAATTAACATTTGTGTTAATACTTTGAAGTTTATTTATTTTTGTTGGCTAAGCATAGTGGCACATGTCTGTAGTCCCAGCTACTTGGGAGGCTGAAGCAAGAAGATTGCTTGAGCACAGGAGTTTGAGGCTGCAGTGAGCTATGATACCGCCGCTGTATTTCAGCCTGAATTAAAAAAAAAAAAAGTCAAAACTTTTTCCCATTTGATTCTCATACAATGCCTCCTCGTTTTACAGAAAAGAAAACAGAATATCAGAAAATCAGAAAATTTAGAGGCCACAGAGGACACAACTGGTATAACAAAACTACAATTCAGTACTTCTGACTCCAAATTTTGTTTTATTCACCATGTAGACTCAAAATAGCAAAGGCAGGAAAATGCACATAAAATAATACAAAAAGCCGTATGTCATAAAAAGCAGCATTATTGGTAAGTTTTCGACGTCAACATCTTCAATGCTGAGACTTTGAGACTCTTAGAGAGTGCCCTTGTCCAGTTGAACATTCTTAAATGTCATGTGATGACAAATTGAATAACTGTATCGTATTCAAACCCATCTTTATTTTACTTATCTTTTTATTTAACTAGTAATTATATTCTAGGAGGGGAAATAGAACACTAGCCATACCCTCTTGAAATAAATTCTGTATTGTCCTTTTATACAGATTGGTTTTGTTAAGAGTTAAATTGAGCCAATGTGTTACCAAGTTTGTGGCATAAAATTAACTCCATATAGAAAGATGGTTTCAACTTTGAGTTAACATGGTTTTGAGAGGTGAAGCCAGCTGGGCTTCTGGGTTGGGTGGGGACTTGGAGAACTTTTCTGTCTAGCTAAGGGATTGTAAACACACCAATCAGTGCTCTGTGTCTAGCTAAAGGTTTGTAAACGCACCAATTGGCACTCTGTAAAAACGCACCAGTCAGCGCTCTGTGTCTAGCTAAAGGTTTGTAAACACACCAATCAGCACTCTGTAAAAATGCACCAATCAGCACACTGTGTCTAGCTAAAGGTTTATAAATGCACCAATCAGCACTCTGTAAAAACGGACCAATCAGCACTCTGTAAAATGGACCAATCAGCAGGATGTGGGCAGGGCCCAATAAGGGAATAAAAGCTGGCCACAGAGCCAGCAGCAGCAACCTGCTTGGGTCCCCTTCCAAGCTGTGGAAGCTTTGTTCTTTGGCTGTTTCCAATGAATCTTGCTGCTGCTCACTCTTTGGGTCCGCACTACCTTTATGAGCTGTAACACTCACCATGAAGGTCTGCAGCTTCACTCCTGAAGCCAGTGAGATCACGAACCCACTGGGAGGAACAAACAACTCCAGACACGTCAACTTTAAGAGCTGTAACACTCACTGCGAAGGTCTGCAGCTTCACTCCTGAAATCAGCTGGACCACGAACCCACCAGAAGAAAGAAATTCCAGACACATCTGAACATCTGAAGGAACAAACTTTGGACACACCGTCTTTAAGAACTGTAACACTCACCGCAAGGGTCCGCAACTTCGTTCTTGAAGTCAGGGAGACCAAGAACCCACGGGAAGGAACCAATTCCGGACACATTTTGGCGACCCAGAGGGGACACAGTTGTACATAACAAATATCATAATAAATTTTTCTTATAACTAATACCCTCGTACCCTCTAGCTATTACAATATAGAGGGTATGAGTCAATAATCCTTGACAATATTAATAACATTTTTCAATATTTTAGGAAAGCTCTTTGCTCTAACAAAAGGATCTAGATGGAACTTCAGATTTATGTTGCTAAAATACATAGTATATTTAGATTTAATTTACATTTTAAGGTAATGGTTAAAAAATTTGCTAGCTTATTTCTTAACTGTTTTTCAACAGGATGAACTATCTAGCACATGGGTTGTACTCTCAAATTACCCATGTTAAATATCTACCATTCTTCTAAGATTTTTTAAATTAACCAGTAATGAAGTTATACTTTCTAGTGATGGCTAAATTAAAGAAAATAGGGATTATAATTTTGTTTCTCCTGATCTAAACTTAGCTTTGTAAATTCAAATGTAGGATACTCCAGGGAATGGCTGAATATAAATTAGAAGTATCTGAGAAAAAGAGAAAATTCTTAGCAGATCATATTTTTGTCATTAACATGAATACATGAATGTACATGTGTAAAGCATGTGAGTATATAACATCATATAATATTTAATTAGCTCATACAGATTAATCGTGCCACGTTTTGTCCTGAACTAATTTGACCTATGTTCTCGTTTTGTTTTTCCCTTTATTGTCTTCTATTGACAAGAGTATTACGTAAAAATTAACTTTGAGTAGAAAACAAATAACTAATCAAAAACAAATTAAATTATTTGATTCAAAACTCATAATAAGATTCACCTCTTTGTTTTTGATTCAGTACTTCTGTTTCAAAGTATATTACTTTAATAAATGTTTAGTAATTATTATGCAATGGTGTTTATAATGATAATGAGTCTAAAGTCCACTAAGGTGAGAGACAGCATCATAGCATAAAACATAAGATCTTTATTGGAGACAGAAAAAGAAAACCTGATTATTGAATTTTACTATTTTGGCTAAATATCATTAAACAGCATGCTTTCCAGGAAATAGAGAACAAAATAAAGAAAGGCAGCATGTTCCCAGGGGGACTAGCTAACAAAATATGACACTAACAGAGCAAAATGCTCTTAGCCAAGCTAATAGCTCACAGAATGGTGTTAGTATGCAATTTATAATTTGACTGTGAGGCCTAGATTTTCACAGATGCCACTCTAAATGTCAGTACTTTCACCACGTCACAATGAACAAAAGGTAAGCCATTAGATGAAACCAACAGCTGTGTCACTATTGAAACACATCTTAAGTAAATAATATATTGCAGATTTATGATGACATTGAAACAGATTCAGGGATGATGCCATTTGTTCAACTTAATTGCTCAGTAGAGATATTACACGTTTTGGGTCCACCATTAACAAGACAAACCCCCATAAATCCTGTGCCAACCAAATCGTTGGGACACATTCAGTTACAATGAAGTCAAATAAACTCAACCTAAAATTGAATTACAAAGCGTTGTTGAATAACTGCTTTATGCAAAACTGAGAACAACCAAAATCAGGGTAGAAACAAGAAATTCTATGAGGACATGCCTAAGCATAATTTTGAGCAACAGGGCATAGCCAATGACTGAGAAACCATAGCAACAGGAAGAACAAGTTGGCATGTTAGTAATCTGAGATAGGATGATTCTTACAAAGGGAGGAAGCTGAGCTGTAAGCAGAATCAAGAGTGTAAACATAAAACAAGCATGCTTCCTCACCTACAGATAGGAATGCAGCTAATAGATGTCAGTAAAAAGAGCACCATCATTAAATCCTGGAGCCCATACCTTTAGAATACATGTATCAGGACTATTTTATAAGGAAATAATTTTGACAATTCAGTAATTTAGCCCCCTTGGATGCCATTTGAGAAAAAATTATACTTATGTCAAAAATAATAAAGGATACTATAAAAAGGATTTAACATACACTAAGTTAAATGCCAAAGCATGTTATTTGGCAATCCAAATTTGGAAATTGATGATGTACAAAAATCCTAAAAGTGACAGCTTTGTCATACACTGGAACAAGAAAATTCAACATATTTGAACAAGTCCTGTTTGGCAAAAATGGAAAATTTCATTTCCTCAAGGTAAATTGTGAGACGATGAGGAACATGTAAGTATGTAGAAATTGAAACAATAGGATTATTTTTATATTTCTACAAAGGAAAATACTTTCTTCTTTTTCATGTCTACTATAAGTTGTTTAATCTGCAGTATAATGTAAAAAGAACCAGTGAGGTATTCTCTGTATTTCTTCCCATTTTTACGGTCCTGAATATTTATAAAGCTGGACTACACATTTTCCTGCATGAATTAGCTGTAAATCTCAAGTCATATTTTAGCCAAGTAAATACATCTTCAAGGAAAGACCTTTAAGGAAAGGAAAAATGGGATTTTAAAGCCAAATTTTAAGTACAACTTCCTGGATAGTATTTTATTTGAGATACTCTGCTGCGTTATCAGTAAAGATAGAAAATCACAGTGAGGTTGAGCCTTTTTTTATGAATTGCGATTGAAAGCAATTAGGTTTATAATTGTTTCCCAGCTGATAAATAAATGTAAAAGTCTAAATATTGTGTTGCATTTATAATCAGATTAGTCTAAGAAAATCAGAATTGTAAAAATCGTTCTTAATAAATAGTACTAATAGTTATAAATGGGTTTAATTCTGACAAAGTGAGATAGTTTAAATTTTCTTTACTTTTGTTAAATCTTATAAAATACAACAAAATGAACAAAAAATAGAAGAGCCCCTTCTTTAATGCAGGCGTTTCGTGCTTCTTTAATGAAGCAGAAAAAAATAAAAGATTATAACCACAATTCATACCTTATACTGAAAAGCTGTCAAGTACTCTAAAATTTGAACCAAAATGCAGAGAGACAACAGTTCACCTGTATGTCCTTAGACATGGGGAGGTGGGAAAGTGTTAAGTTACCCCTAAAAGTATGAATTAGCTTCCTAAATGGTATGTTTAATGATTGTCAAAAATATTGACACAGGTGGTCATAGAAAAAATATGGGTGTTGCCTCAGTTTGGCACATTATAAATGTAGGAGAAATTAGAATGGAAAGATTATAATAATTATCAGTTTTTGCAATTTAAGGCAGACATTTAGCTAAGAAGAGATCTGAAATAAATTGCAAGAAAGGAAGGAAGAAAAACAGTTTTTATAACTTAAAGGCTTCATGAATTAAGGGGCTTTATTATAAGTCATATCGACCAACTTGTATTAGTCCGTTTTCATACTGCTATAAATAATTTCCTGAGACTGGGTTATTTATAAAGGAAGGAGTTTTAATTGACTCACAGTTCAGTTTGTCTGGGAGGCCTCAGGAAATTTACAGTCACGTCAGAAGGTGAAGGGGAAGCAAGGCACATTCTTCTCAGGGTGGTAGGAAGGAGAAATGCCCAGTGAATGGAAAATGGCCCCTTATAAAACCATCAGATCTCATGAGAACTCACTATCACGGGAACAGCACAGGGGAATCACCCCCATGATTCAATTACTTCCACCTGGTCTCTCCCTTGACACATGGGGATTATCGTGATTACAATTCAAGATGAGATTTTGGGTGAGTACCCAGCCAAACAATATCACATCTGAATGTAAACAACTGAGGGAGGTCATGTCCTGGAGGATAATAGACTTAAGAAATTTAGGATTCCAGACAACAGTCATAATTTAAAGCTGTGGTTGTCCCCAGATGTCGTTCACACAATCCTTACACTATTATTCAGCAAGTGATTGGCTTGAGTCAAAAATAATAAAGGAAGAGAAAGATAAATAAGGAACTACCCTGGCATTAATGTATGGATATGACCAAAACTCAAGAGATAGAGAATAAGAAACCTACAAAATTAAGGTGAAAAATATGGTAAATACGATCAGAAAGAGGAATAATTTATATAACAGCTCTCCTTAGTGTTTTTGTTTGTTTCGTTTTTGAGACGGAGTATCACTCTGTCACCCAGGCTGGAGTGAAGTGGCGCGATCTCGACTCACTGCAAGCTCCGCCTCCCGGGTTCACGCCATTCTCCTGCCTCAGCCTCCCGAGTAGCTGGGACTACAGGCGCCTGCCACCACTCCTGGGTAATTTTTTGTATTTTTTAGTAGAGACGGGGTTTCACCGTGTTAGCCAGGATGGTCTCGATCTCCTGATCTACCCACCTTGGCCTCCCAAAGTGCTGGGATTACAGGCGTGAGCCATAGCGCCAGCCTCTCCTTAGTGTTTAACAACACACATGTTTTTCACAAAGAATGGATCCAATACAGCAACACACACACACACACACACACACACACAAACAAACAAATTTGTATCAAAATACACAAAAAAAATCGATTATAGCTACTTGAGATAAAAGATAAGGAATTGTAATTTAGGAAAGGCAAGGGCTGATGGTGGATAATAGATCAATGGTGGTTAGCATAAAAAGTACTTAGATTTGAGATACATACTAGGGGAGAACGGGGTAGAATTTTAATGGATCCAAAATGGGGGTAAAATGAGTAAAGTGAATCCTTTTGATAACTCATAGCATTCACTTCACCAGACCTCGTGAAATTATAATGCTGCTTTGATTTATATATTTATCTCTTTCACAACCAGCCCATCTGATTCCTTCAAAGTTGGCTCTATTTTCATTTTTAGGACTGATACAAATTAGTCTTAATCAATCAGGATAATCTCATCCTCCTCACCAGATACAGAATTCCAATCACTATTTGCGATTCTTTTTTCTTTTTTTTTTTTTGGTTCATTGGTCCAGAAGCAGACATATGCCAACATTTTCTCAAATCATACTTAAAAATAAGACCTTTTTCAGATGAATTAAAAAGTTTATTTTTCACAGGATGTGAATGTCTTGGATATGTTGATTAGACAATTAAATGGATAAACCTATTTTAATATCCTGGGCAAATATGTTAAATTGAAAATCAGTTGATTATATGTAACTGTTATGTTGAATAAGAGCTCATGGAAATTATTTATAAAAGAAACTTTATTTTACTTCTCAGTATCTCTTTACTTGCATACTATGACTTTTCTAATCAATGTAAGGCAATAGAAAAACCTGTGGTTGTGTAAGAGTTAACATAGTCTCAAAGCAGTTATTGAAAATGTGCCATCTCAATGATAATAAAAACAGAATTTGATTTAACAAAAAATATGCTCCTCTTCTCTTACTCCCTGAATAAATGGCTGCTTGATGTGGGAAATAGGAGTGTAATCCTACTTCTTTTTTTCTCTCTAAGCCTACTAAGTGTGGTTTCAAACCAGGTCTAATCAAAAAGAGGGAGTTAAGTGGGGAGGAAAGTTCTTACACAGATTAATCACTTGTTAAGATGGAATTGTGTTCTCTGGGTTTAGTGTATAGTTTTAAATATGTCTTTTTATCTCTCTTGGACACTTTCAAAGGTTCTTTAGGGACTCCCCACTGGTGATATCTGACTGTACTTAATGAAACATGGAACAAGCGTTTTCCTTGAATCCTCCTTTTTAACAATTTGACTCCACTCCTTCTTAGTTTCCCATTCCCCCTCAGACAATCTTCTGAGAAGATTTAAACTGGCTTCAGGTTATCTTTCTCTGATGAATCACACCCCTCTGACCCATGGAAAACTTTCAGGTATTTTTTACTGTCCATTTCCAAAAGTCAGGCCAATTCTATTGTAATAACAAAGCTCCTTATTACTTTACTCAAGTTGTTAACCAAATAGTCTTATTCTTGAAAAGCAGTCCCTGGATGGGAATCAGGCACCAGTCCATTCAGCCTCTACAATTTTATCAAGCATATATTAAACTCCTAAGCAGAATTAATAAAAAGTACTAGTTCTCAGATTCAGAAAACCCAGCAAATGTCAATCAATATAAATAAATGACATAGCTAGATACTGGAGGTTGAAATTGTTGATTTTCTCTTTCACGTCTTTCCCTTTGTCTCAAATATCCTACGTTCTGTATAATTTCTTCATATACAACTTCCAAACAGCTATCTTTCAATGGTGCTTAAAGAAAGCAGAATAGCATAGGAGTGATGGGTATTTTCTGGATCCGGAATGCATGACTTAAATCCTAAAACTAATTTATAAACAATAAGTGTGGGGCAAAACACTTAAATTTTCTGGTTTTACTCTTTCCCTTTATGACTTCATAAATATTTTCTTTGATTTTCTACCAGTACATCTTTGCAGAGAGAGAGAAACAATAATTTGGAGATTAATATGCGAGTTTAGATAGTAGGAAAAACCTAAAGATACATAAGTAAATGAATAATGTCATTAGAGTCATAGGGAAGAAATGTTAACCCACAGCCAGTGTGCTTTCTGTATTGGTAGGCTAAATATTGCATCTGGTGACCTCAATTAGAATGTAGCCTATATCCCATATTAGAATATATAGCCTATGCTTAGGAATATCTAAAAATTCAGACAGGAGGTATTAACAACTTGTTCTAGATTAGAAAGGATAAGATTGTATGAGATGAGTCATCCAAAGAATGTTGTAGAAGCTATTGCGTGTAAGGAGTGAGGTGCAAAACACTAATAATTGGAAAAAGGAACCTAAGAAAGAAAATGTGCTTAATTTATGCACATTATATCTGAAGTCTCAAGGGTACACTCAGGTTGGTGTATCCAGTATACCAATATTTATGTAGATCTATAGTTCAGAGTCAGATGAAATACACAAAAATAATAGCTAACACTGCTAAGAAAGAGAATGTGAAGAGAGAAGAGTAAGGGACTAAGGGTACCAACATATGCTAAGAAATTAATGAAGCTTAAGCTTCTTGTCCTCTCACTTGCATGGATTCCTTCTGAAGCCATGGGAGGGTCCTAGGAAGGTGCTCACATGGTGATATATTTTTGTAAAATTTGCAACACTAGATTTTTTAAATTCTTGTTACTTTTTCTGTAAAAGCCTCATATATATATATATATATACACACAGACACACATATGCCTATGTATAATTATCTATACAGTTGACTGTTGAAAATATGAGGGTTGAGATGCCACCCACCAGCACATTAAAAAATCCATGTATAATTTTGACCCCCATAAAACTTAACTAATAAAATATTGCTAACCAGAAGCCTTACCAATAACATAAACTCTTGATTAACACATACTTTGTATGATGTATGTCTTACATATGATATTCTTACAATAAAGTAAGCTAGAAAAAAGAAAATGTTATCTAAAAAATTAGAAGAAAGATAAATATTCAGTATTCATTCAGTCGGAGCAGATCATCATAAAAATCTTCATCCTTGTCATTTTCATGTTGAGTAGGCTGAGAAGGAGGAAAATTTGGTCTCATCTCAGGGGTGACAGAGGCCGAAGAGGTGGAGTAAGTAGAAGGAGAGGCAGGAGAGAGAGATGAATTCAGAGTAACTTTATGGAAATACAATCGTACTTTCTGTATTTTTTTTTCATTTTTTTTTTTTGCTTTTTCATTTTTCTAAAAATGCTTCTACATAGTAGCAATCCCTCTTCCACCATTTGCTTTAGTTTCAGTGCCCATATCATAGAAAAGATCATGTCATAAAACAAGTCAAAAACAGTCTTGTATAATCAAAACGTTTCTGCCAGATTGTCTAATGTCAATTTGTTTTCTGGCAATGCTTCTTCTATGTCTTTATCTCATCATCTGGTACTGGATCAGAAGCACTCATCTTTATCAAATAATCTTCTGTTAATTTTTCTGGCGTGGTGTCTATTAGCTTTTGAATTCCTCTAAGATCCATATCTTGAAATGCTTCATCCTCCACCTTTTTTTTTTTAATTTTTTTGCCATATCCGCAATCTCTTATATTTTCTTGATTGGCTGTGTCATAAATCCTGTGAAGTTATACACAACATCTGGACAGCATTTTCCCCAGCAGGCATTTATTGTTTGGGGTTTGATGGCTTCCATGGCTTTTTCTACAATAACGATGGCATCTTCAATTGTAAAATCCACCCAGATGTTTATAATATTCCACCAGGATTCTCTTCCATACTTTTGACAATCCTTTTCATAGAGTACCATATATAATGAGTTTTAAAGTTTATTATGACCCTGTGATCTAGAAGCTGAATTGAAGACATGTTTGGGGGCAAATAGACCATTTTGATGCCTTTGGTGTTGAACTCACAGAGTTCTGGTTGCCCAGGGGTATTGTCCAATATCAAAAACAAAAAACAAACAACCTAAAAACTTTCAGACAGTCCCTTACTGATAAGGTACTTCCTGACTTCGGGGACAAAGGCAAAGTGTCAATTAAATCATCCAGAAAAAAGTGTTCTCATTGCTTAGGCCGTCTTGTTGTACAATCACAAGACTGACAGCAGGTGTTTATCTTTTTCCTTCAATGCTTGGCAGTTAGCAGTTTCAAAGGTAAGGACAGTCCTGACTATAAACCTGACTGCATTTTACAAAACAGAATAGTTGGCCTATTCTTCCCTGCCTTAAAACCTTATTCGTGCATCTCTCCGTTACTAATAAATGTCGATTGTGTCATTTTTGTTCAGAATGGACATTTTTTCTCTGCATTACAAACCTGTTCGGACAGATATCCTTTTTCCTGAATGATTTTCTTACTGACATTTGGAAACTCATTTGCTGCCTCTTCGCTGGCAGAAGTTGCTTTTCTTTTTATGTTCACTTTTTTTTTTTTAAGGCAAATCTCTTTCTAAAATTATCAAATCATCCTTTGCTGGCTTTAAATTATCCGGCTTCAGATCCTTCACTTTTCTTGTGCTTTAAGTTATCATATAATGATTTCACTTTTTCTCAAATCATAATATAGTCTATAGGCATGCCTTTTCTTATAGCAATCCTGCACCCACATAAAAGCTGCATTTTCAATATGAGATAAAAAGATATTTCAACAAAAGAGCAAGGTTTTCATGCCTGCTGGTGTAGATGCAATAATGATGTCATGAATTTCCTTTTCTTTCTTTACAATGATACTTACACTGGATTCATTTATCTTGAAATGGAAAAACTGAGAACATAGGACACATTTACAAGAGACATCTGCTTCAATCCTGTGGGTCTCAATGTAAACTTTAAAAGAATACCCATAATTAGAGTAAAAAAGAAGGGGAATAGTAAGAAAATGAGAAAAGCTTAAGTAGTATAAGTACCTGAAGAGAAATAAATGAAAGCAATATTAGCAAAACAAAGAAAAAAAGACTGTCACAATGAGCCTGGTCAAATCTTCAACCTCAGAAGTGCTCAAAAATGAGACGCTCTAAGAATGCTGTCAAATTGGGTTTATGAGAGACCATAGTTGACTATATAAATATAAATTTAATTGTATAAGTGGATCAGAAAGGCACCCTAAAAGCTATAAATACTTTCTCCTGCATTTTTTTTTTTTTTTGAGACAAGTCTCACTCTGTCACCTAGGCTGGAGTGTAGTGGCGCCATCTCGGCTCACTGCAAGCTCAGCCTCCCGGGTTCACACCATCCTCCTGCCTCAGCCTCCCAAGTAGCTGGGACTACAGGCGCCCGCCACCACGCCCGGCTAATTTTTTGTATTTGACGGGGTTTCGCCGTGTTAACCAGGATGGTCTCAATCTCCTGACCTTGTGATCCGCCCGCCTCGGCCTCCCAAAGTGCTGGGATACAGGTGTGAGCCACCGCACCTGGCCACTCCTCCTGCATTTCTAAGCTAATCATTTTCTGAAAATCTTCCTGCCCAAACACCTGTATGTTTCCGTGATATTAAATGAGTTAATAAAATTCTTAGAAAATCTGGTACATTGTAGGCACTTTTGAACAATTATCTACTATTATAATAATTATCAAGAAGATTCTAAAGACATTGTGAACAAAGCAATAGGAAGAACAATAGATATCAGTTTAAGATTGCTAAGAAAATAGCAAGTCTTCTCAAATCAGAGAAGACTATGTTGCAGTGATCTCTAGAGTATTGGGAGGTCAAGACACAAAGGGGAAAGAGGGATGATGGGGGGAATCCAGGTTCTAGGAACAGGAGAAACTGGGAAGATCAAGAAGAATATCAGAGATGGGAACAATAAGAAGAGTATGGGCTGCTTATAGCTGGTCAAAAAACCAGATAGGCAAAAAGTTAAGAATTGAAGATATGGAGACTGTTATTAGAGAAGAATTTTAGAATTGAAAATATTGGAAGCAGAGCAATTCTAATCTCCATAGGCATAGGTGACAGTAGACCCGAGATATCCAAAGTAGAGTGAACATTTCATAATCAATATAATGATAACACAAAATTATACTGTACAGCTCACAGAGCTTCACACTTCTCAAAGTAATGCATACAAATTCACACACACACACACATAATGCATGCACTTATACACATACAACACACTATACGCATGAGGATATCTATTATCCTAAATTAGCAGGAAGCTGAAAGTTTGGAAAGATAATAAGATAGTTTTAGCTTATTCTACCAGCAATTATAGTAATGATTTTTCCTTCAATCCTTTATTCTAATTAACAGAACATGACTAGTTTACAGATATCATTTTCTTATTAAGAATATTTTACAGAAATATTTTTCATAGTCTCTTATAAAATATGAAAGTACAATGTATCTCAATGTCCATGACTAATAGGCTCTAGCAGATACTCTTAAAAAATTAACTTGATAATTTTCTTCTCCTTCATTCGTGTGTATTGATGACTTTTTTAGTTTTAAATCCTTTAAGGAGACCTCAAGTTTCTCTTTCATATACCTATATTGCTTTGTACTTTGAAATAAAGAATTCTTGGCCGGGCGCGGTGGCTCATGCCTGTAATACCAGCACTTTCGGAGGTTGAGGGGAGTGGATTGCCTGAGGTCAGGAGTTCGAGACCAGCCTGGCCAACATGGCTAAACCCTGTTTCTACTAAAAACGCAAATATTAGCTGAGTGAGGTGACGCGTGCCTGTAATCCCAGCAACTCGGGAGGCTGAAGCAGGAGAATTGCTTGAACCCGGGAGGTGGAGGTTTCAGTGAGCTGAGATTGTGCCACTGCACTCCAGCCTGGGCGACAGAGTGAGACTCTGTCTCCAATAAATAAATAAATAAATAATTCTTATTTGTTGCAACCTAATCCCTTTTGATTTTTATAGCAGTTTTATGCACTCTCAGTGTCTGCTTAAGAATTACGTTATCTTTTTTGACCAGTAAGCAAATACTGGAATGTTGAAGATGCCTCTAATTTTAGTACAGAGAATTTTTTCAGATTATAAGCACTGGCTACTTTTTTCATTAACACAGACCATTATACTCAAAGACACATTCACCTCAATGCCTTCCAGTTTTCTCAAAGGTTTATTTCAAAGTATAATTGTTTTATACAAAAAAAAAAAAAAACACTCATATGTTACCATGGTATTGACTGTTACAAATCAATATGAATATGCTCTAACTATCCAAGCAGAAATATTGAGAAAGGCACATTATGCTCTCACATGGGTAACAATTCCAGGATGAATCTTCACTGTGGAAGACTAATTTCATGTCATGAGCAGCCCTCGATGAATTAGTATGTGAATCAACTAGTTACTATCTCTACTAATGCAGAATATTTTGTGGAAACATCTTTTACATGAACTTTGAACATAAATTACTGCAATGAAAATTGGAAAAACATCCATATCACATCACTAGAAAAAGAACAAAATGAATTTTTCTAGTCATTTAGGAAATTTTTAACCAAATGTTTTAAAGCTTTTTTTTTGGAAATTTATTAAATTTACTCTATTTGTCTTATCAAATAAGTAGCAAGATAAGAAACTACTGATAAAATATACCTTTCAACTTACACATGCAATGAGATGATCATTGTTCAATGGCCTTGTAACAAAGGAATTCAGCATTCACATTCTAATAGGGTTGTAATTTGAATTCAATGAAATTTCCATTAGTAAAAGATACTCATCTAATTAAACACAAACAAATACATCTTAATTCATACCCTCAACAGAAGTAATCCCTTTATATCACAGCCAACTTCAATGCTTTCAAAGGATTTATTTATTTATTTATTTTTATTTTATTATTATTATACTTTAAGTTTTAGGGTACATGTGCACAATGTGCAGGTTAGTTACATATGTATACACGTGCCATGCTGGTGTGCTGCACCCATTAACTCGTCATTTAGCATTAGGTATATCTTCTAATGCTATCCCTCCCCCCTCCCCCCACCTCACAACAGTCCCCAGAGTGTGATGTTCCCCTTCCTGTATCCATGTGTTCTCATTGTTCAATTCCCACCCATGAGTGAGAATATGCGGTGTTTGATTTTTCATTCCTGCGATAGTTTACTGAGAATGATGATTTCCAATTTCATCCATGTCCCTGCAAAGGACATGAACTCATCATTTTTTTCTGGCTGCATAGTATTCCATGGTGTATATATGCCACATTTTCTTAATTCAGTCTACAGTCTATCACTGTTGGACATTTGGGTTGGTTCCAAGTCTTTGCTATTGTGAATAGTGCTGCAATAAACATATGTGTGCATGTGTCTTTATAGCAGCATGATTTATAGTCCTTTGGGTATATACCCAGTAATGGGATGGTTGGGTCAAATGGTATTTCTAGTTCTAGATCCCTGAGGAATCGCCACACTGACTTCCACAATGGTTGAACTAGTTTACAATCCCATCAACAGTGTAAAAGTGTTCCTATTTCTCCACATCTTCTCCAGCACCTGTTGTTTCCTGACTTTTTAATGATTGCCATTCTAACTGGTGTGAGATGGTATCTCATTGTGGTTTTGATTTGCATTTCTCTGATGGCCAGTGATGGTGAGCATTTTTTCATGTGTTTTTTGGCTGCATAAATGTCTTCCTTTAAGAAGTGTCTGTTCATATCCTTCGCCCACTTTTTGATGGGGTTGTTTTTTTCTTGTAAATTTGTTTGAGTTCATTGTAGATTCTGGATATTAGGCCTTTGTCAGACGAGGAGGTTGCGAAAATTTTCTCCCATTTTGTAGGTTGCCTGTTCACTCTGATGGTAGTTTCTTTTGCTGTGCAGAAGCTCTTTAGTTGAATTAGATCCCATTTGTCAATTTTGGCTTTTGTTGCCATTGCTTTTGGTGTTTTAGACATGAAGTCCTTGCCCATGCCTATGTCCTGAATGGTAACGCCTAGATTTGCTTCTAGGGTTTTTATGGTTTTAGGTCTAACATTTAAGTCTTTAATCCATCTTGAATTAATTTTTGTATAAGGTGTAAGGAAGGGATCCAGTTTCAGCTTTCTACATATGGCTAGCCAGTTTTCCCAGCACCATTTATTAATAGGGAATCCTTTCCCCATTGCTTGTTTTTCTCAGGTTGGTCAAAGATCAGATAGTTGTAGATATGCGGCGTTATTTCTGAGGGCTCTGTTCTGTTCCATTGATCTATATCTCTGTTTTGGTACCAGTACCATGCTGATTTGGTTACTGTAGCCTTGTAGTATAGTTTGAAGTCAGGTAGCGTGATGCCTCCAACTTTATTCTTTTGGCTTAGGATTGACTTGGCAATGTGGGCTCTTTTTTGGTTCCATATGAACTTTAAAGTAGTTTTTTCCAATTCTGTGAAGAAAGTCATTGGTGGCTTGATGGGGATGGCATTCAATCTCTAAATTACCTTGGGCAGTATGGCCATATTCACGATATTGATTCTTCCTACCCATGAGCATGGAATGTTCTTCCATTTGTTTGTATCTTCTTTTATTTCATTGAGCAGTGGTTTGTAGTTCTCCTTGAAGAGGTCCTTCACGTCCCTTGTAAGTTGGATTCCTAGGTATTTTATTCTCTTTGAAGCAATTGTGAAAGGGAGTTCACTCATGATTTGGCTCTCTGTTTGTCTGTTATTGGTGTATAAGAATGCTTGTGATTTTTGCACATTGATTTTGTATCCTGAGACTTTGCTGATGTTGCTTATCAGCTTAAGGAGATTTTGGGTTGAGACAATGGGGTTTTCTAGATATACAATCATGTCATCTGCAAACAGGGACAATTTGACTTCCTCTTTTCCTAATTGAATACCCTTTATTTCCTTCTCCAGCCTAATTGCCCTGGCCAGAACTTCCAACACTATGTTGAATAGGAGTGGTGAGAGAGGGCATCCCTGTCTTGTGCCAGTTTTCAAAGGGAATGCTTCCAGTTTTTGTCCATTCAGTATGATATTGGCTGTGGGTTTGTCATAAATAGCTCTTATTATTTTGAGATACGTCCCATCAATGCCTAATTTATTGAGAGTTTTTAGCATGAAGAGTTGTTGAATTTTGTCAAAGGCCTTTTCTGCATCTATTGAGATAATCATGTGGTTTTTGTCTTCGGTTCTGTTTATATGCTGGATTACATTTATTGATTTGCATATATTGAACCACCCTTGCATCCCAGGTATGAAGCCCACTTGATCATGGTGGATAAGCTTTTTGATGTGCTGCTTGATTTGGTTTGCCAGTATTTTATTGAGGATTTTTGCATCAATGTTCATCAAGGATATTGGTCTAAAATTCTCTTTTTTGGTTGTGTCTCTGCCCGGCTTTGGTATCAGGATGATGCTGGCCTCATAAAATGAGTTAGGGAGGATTCCCTCTTTTTCTGTTGATTGGAATAGTTTCAGAGGGAATGGTACCAGTTCCTCCTTGTACCTCTGGTAGAATTCGGCTGTGAATCCATCTGGTCCTGGACTCTTTGGTTGGTAAGCTATTTATTATTGCCACAATTTCAGCTCCTGTTATTGGTCTATTCAGAGATTCAACTTCTTCCTGGTTTAGTCTTGGGAGGGTGTATGTGTCGAGAAATTTATCCATTTCTTCTAGATTTTCTAGTTTATTTGCGTAGAGGTGTTTGTAGTATTCTCTGTTGGTAGTTTGTATTTCTGTGGGATCGGTGGTAAGTGCTTAATCAAAAACAGCTAGTTATTTCAATTAACTTTCTGTTTAACATGAATGACGCATCATTTCCAATGTCCTGTGCTATAAATGGTGACACATTATTCGTTAATCTGCTGATCCGCCAATAAATATGGAATAACCACTACATCAGTTCCAGGCGACTTCCAGGTTCTTAGAATTTCCTTTATCAGGACAACATTGGCCCTTAAATTGAATTTTTTTACAAATTGGCATTTTTTTTTTGTTAAGATCATGCATAGAACCACTCAAAACTTTGGGAGTTAAAAACCAGAACCTTCCAGGAATCAAAGAATATAAACTCAAATAGAAAATAAAAATCATGCACATAATTAACTGTAACAAAAAATGTAAATGTTAAATTGATAACTTTTCAAAATTTAAAATATCTTAATTTCATGCTGTTCTTGTCTCTATAATCATTATAATACACTTTAACATACCTTTAATTTTGAAATTTTATTTGACCTGTTGTATGATAATATCTTACCAATGATGATGGTGGTGGTGATGATGGTGATGATTATGGTGGGGATGCTAACTAACAGTTGTTGGACATTATGTGCCAGTCACTGCTCTAAGTAGTTGATATGTATTGACTTGGTAAATTCTCACATCTGTATGAAGTAGATGCTATTATATTTAGAATTTAAAAGCAGGAGACCTGAAAGACACAGAGGCTAAATAATCTGCCCAAGTTCCCACAGCCAGTATGGGCAGAGCCAGGAAGAAATCTAGGCTATCTGGTTTTAAAAGTTACATTGTCAACCACCACACAATATTGTCCCTTAAATCATCATTGCAAATGTCATAAAATATCATGAAATATGTTCTGTATCAAATAACTCATACAAAGAAATATTTCTCTATAGTAGGATTCAACAAACTTCCTAGTAATGGTCTAGATAACAAATAGGCTTCGTAAACCACATAATCTCTGTTTTAAATATTTTTAAAATATATATAAATAAATGGATGTGGCTGTCCTTCAAGAAAACTTTATTTATAGAACAGGTAATAGGTTGAATTTGTTCCATAAGCTAGTTTGCTCACAGCATACAAGTATTAGAATATGTTAATGTTTTGATTAATTAAATAGCATTATTTATTTCAACGTTGAATTGCTGTTGAAATGTTTTCTTAAATGAAGGTGATTAATAAGACTAAAAGCAGCAATACTTTAATTGAGCTGGATATCCCCAGATAAATATTAGAAAATTATTTTTAAAGATGTTCTAGTCTTTCACACCTTCAATTTGCTCCTTAAAATTCTTCCCAGTGAATTCTATAGTTTGGATTAATTATTTCTGCCCACCTGCTATGGGACCTTAAAAAATTAACGTTTATAGAAATTTACAAGTTTCACAGTCTGTAAAATGAATCTAATAATATAATTGTTCTATTTCATCTGAGATTTCCAGGAAACTTCCAGGTTTCTAGAATTTCCTTTATCAGGAAAATATTATCCCTTAAATTGAATTTTTTCACAAATTGGCATTCTTTTCTTAAAATCAATTTTATAAAGCATAATTTCATTATAATGCAATGTATTTATATGAAGTATATATTTTGATGCATTTTGACAATTTATACATCAATGTAAGTAGTATCACAGTCAAGATATAGAACATTTCCATCACCATACAATGTTATTTTGTGCTCCCAAAAGGTAACTACACCAACCCCCAGCACTAGACAGCTACTGGTCTGCTTAATTTCACTCTAGATTATATTTTTCTTTCCTGTAACCAGTACTTCTTTAATGTTTGTTGGTAGAAATTCGGTTGCTTCCAGTTAGGGACTTTTATGAATAAAACTGTTATAAATATTCATACATATATCTTTATATTAGCATATATTTCTCTATATTATTAAAATTTGGGATCACATGAAATGCGTGATTTTAACTTTAAAAGAAATGTCCCAACTGTATTTAAAGTGAAAAACATTCCCATCATCTATATGTGAGAGTTCCACCATATACTTCATCACCAAAACTTGATATCGTGTCTATTTTTAGGCATTTTAATGATTGTGTAGTGACATTTCATTGTGGCTTTCACTATTTTGAATTACCTTAGTGGCTAATCTTGAGCATCTTTTCATTGTACTTATTTGCTCTCCATACATCTGTCTGAATGCCTGTTCAAATATTTGTGTAGTTTTAAAATTCGCCTTTTATTTTATTGAGTTGTTAGAGGTTTCTGTATCTATTCTGGACCATCTCCATAGATGTTCATTTTTGTAGATTCAAATTTCTGTCTCATATCATATTTATTCTGCCTGCAGAACTTCCTTTAACATTTCTTATAATGCAAGTGTGCTGGCAATAAAGTCCTTCAATTTCTTATATTTTGAAATGTCTTGTCTCCTTTATTTTTTAAAGACACTGTCCCTGAGTATATTATTCTAGGTTGATATTTGTTTTTATTTCTCCATTTTAAAATATGCCAGTTTACTGCCTTTCTGCCTGTATAGTTTCTGATAGAATGTTTGCTGTATTTTTTTTTATCTAACTTACCCTGCATGTAATATGTCTCCTGCCTCCCTGCCCTGCCCTGCCCCACGGTGCCTTCAAAACTTGGTTGTTACCTTTTATTTTAGCTGTTCGAATATAATGTATCTAGGTGTGTGTGTGTGTGTGCGCGCGTGTGTGTGTGTGTGGTTGTACTCACCCTGTTTGAAATTATCTGAGGTTATATCTGTACTTGGTGTCTTATAATTTTTGTATAATTCTTGGCCATTATCACTTCAACTATTGACCGTTATCACTTCAAATGTTGGTTTTCTCCTCTCTTTCAGCTAGCCATTCTAAATAAATGTAAAATAGGCCACTTGATATAATCTTACATATTTGGTTTACATTTTCTCTCTCTCCTCTCTTTGTGCTTCAGGTTGAATAATTTCTACGGACCTTCTTTCAAATTCACCTGCTCTATCCAAGTTTGTGTCACATTTACTGATGAACCTATTCAAGATATTCTTCATTTGTGTTAGCATTATTTTTCTAGCAATTCAAATGGAGTCTTTCTTTTAGCTCTCGTCTCTCCCCTGGCATTATCCGTCTGCTCTTCCATGTTCTGTACCTGGTCTACCAGAGTCTTTACCACATTAATCTAAGTTATATGAAAATTTTTGTCTAATGGTTCCAACATATAGGTGATCTCTGAATCTTATTTTATTCATTGCTTTGTATTTTTACAATGGCTTCTTTATGTTTGCATTTTGTATGTCTTCAGTTTTTCATTATATTTCACATATTGTGTGTATGACAATATTAACATTGGTAAATTATTTTTGACCTGGAAACAGGCATATATCTCTTTTTCTACTTGGCACTAAATGTGAGGAGGAGAGTCAATCTAGTCACATGTTGAGATGGGTTTGGATTTTTATTATAGGTACCCTCAGTGCACTTCCAGTTTCAAATTTGCCTACCTTTACCTTGTAAAGCGAGAACTTGATTGCCCGGTAATTTTGCTCCATCTTTCTATTCCACCCTAAGTACCTCATTACCTCTCTCAAGTCTTTTGCTCTTCCCTAGCAGTAGACAGAGGCTGCTGGTTTCTTGGTGTTTGCCAGTCTGGTTGTGGAAAATACGTTGGGTGCTCTACTGTATCTAGCTTTAGTCTTAAATTGGCCCTCCATCTCCGTGTCTTGGTGGTGGAGGCTTTTGAAATAATTCTGTTCATCCTCCAGCTGTAAAATACAAACAAATTCTAATGGCCTAGGTTTAGGACTATGTCTTATCTCTCTTCCAAGGGTAAAGGGAGTTTTACTATTTATTTTTTTCTAAAAAAAGAAAAGGAAAATAGATGAAATAATATGCTACCATAATCCAGGAAGTCACCTGGTGGTTTGCAACTTTGTGAAGTATCAAAAAGTAATTATGTCAGGTATATATACAACTAGTACTGTATAATTGCATTTATATAAAGTTCAAGAATAGGAAAACTAAACTGTAATAATATAAATAAGAACTGTTAGTCTCTGACAGGGACAAGTGGGTGGAGATTGTCTAAAAATAGTTGAAAAGGAACTTTATTATATGATGATAATTTCCTTTATATTTATTTTCATAATGGTTAAATGGTGTACATTTTCAAAACTCATGATACTGTGGTCTTAAAATCTGTTTGATTTATTACATGTAAATTATACTTCAATTAATGTTGCTATAACCAGACAAAAAATAGGTAGAATTAAATTCAGAGACTAATTACCTTAGAAATATTGAGATCAATAGAAAGTTTTACTTCTACAATTTTAAGTAATACTTATAATTTTAAAACAGTTTAATGTGCATTATTTTATTTAATCTTTACTATACTGGTCATGTGTATTATTATCTGCACTTTATATATGAGCTGTTCTGACTTTGAATATGGTTCTGTTGAAACAGTTGGCTACATCATGAATCAGAAATATTATAAACTGTAGAGTAAATACAATAATATCTTACTGTAATCTACAAAGTCACCTGGGAGGTTTGCAACTTCACCTGGTAGAAAAAAGAGACTGTATCCTCTTTTTTCCTATATTGCACAGATGAAAGTGAGGCTCCCTATTTTATCACAAGAACCTCCACAGTCTAAATAGATATGAAAATGTTATTCTTTAGTAAATGTCTGCAATGAAATACATTATTATCATTTCCCTCTTCAAGTTAATTGACATGAGCATTTTTGGACAATGCAATTAATTCAGTGTTTCTAGAACACCTATCAAACAATGGGCCCATCCTGTTATTAAGCTAGTTAAAAGCATTTATTTGATAGTAGATTTGTTCTTTTGCCTACCAGTGTGTTTGGGATACTTTAATGGGACTATTTTCTCACAAATTATAACAAGAAGGACTAAACCTATAATTATCTAACTAAAACATTGCATCAGTAAAATATATCCCATTATCAGATAAATGACACTAGTCAGGCAGTCCTTCACATATCAAAAGGATTTATTCAGTGTATGCTATAATCACAGTTTATAATATGGTTCTTAATTCCATTATTAATAAGATAGGGTGTTATTGCTTATTTATGTTCACTTTGATTTAATGTTCATAAGAAGCACTTGCTTTTAAAAATGACCTGAAGTTCAAGTATGGTAATGGCTGTCCATTTGCAATTTCAAAGGTACAGAGACCATATCCAAATAGCCACTAACTTATTGAAACATGCATTTAATAATCCAAAAGCCATCACTATCATTAAGTATGTCATAAGTCTTATAGTTTTCCCTATGTTTACTCAGAGCTACACCTGCACACAGAGGTGGAGCCCAATGATGGAAATAACTGACTCATATGATTACTTACAGGTTGGACTCAGAAAGTGAGTCATAATATGCCTCATGGATGGCCAGATAATTTAGCTCAAATTGAGCTTTCTCATCTCTAGTTGCTACACATACTAGTCCTGGCTTCCTACTGTTGTTATTTCCTAGTTGTTATTTCCTCAAAACATACTTCCTTCTGGCATTTGCTCTTGTTTCCAGTGAAGCAAAGATGTGAGCATTTGTTTAGTGTCAGAATATTGACCGCCTCCCAGGACATCATTATCATAGGATTTTTTGTTTCATTTAGTACTGATTATAGTACCCAAAGCCCTTGGCAAATTATTTTCAAAAGAACCATATCATTTTATTGTGAAAGTAAGGTTTTATACCATAGTTGGAAGATACTCTTAAAAAATGCAACACTAAAAGGAAATGGCTAAGTAGCTGACAATTTCCTCTCAGACACTATTGCTTATGTTTTATTAACTTAAAAAAGACTTTCTTCTAATCTGGTTCCACATTATAAATGAGACAAAATTAAGAAGTGGTTGTGACTCTCAAGGTCACAAAGTTTGTATTTCCTCCTTGGTCACATGGCAGATAGCTAATGGCCATTCAAACACCAAAGCCACTCTCTTGTTTCTTCTGATATGAGGTTAACAGCATGCTAAAACAGAATTATCTTCCTCTGTCTCAGTTTCTTGATTCCTATTTTTGTCACCTCACTAATCAATAGAGTGGTGAGAGAGCCACTGAGATAGTAAATCAAATGCTAATGTCCCTTTTTGATTTGCCAGGTTAGATTGTTTATCACTTCTAAGTGGTTGGTTTTTGGCATTCTATATAAACTTTGAATTACTTACTGAAAAAAAAAAACTGTAAGATGCTGCAAGCAGCAGGTATTTCCTCTTACTTTTTTTCTGAGACATAACAATTGCATACTCTAGACTGTAAGTATCAATGATGGAACAGAAACAGAGTTGTCCTAAGAGAGACAACCACACACACCTGAAATCCGACTTTAGAACATGTTTCAGTCTCAGTTCCTGCTCTTTTCAATGAATAATTAAAGCGCATCAAGCATCAAATTGTATGTCTTTATTTTTGATGGTAAGTAGTTCAGATGAGTTCCTCCATAATGAAATCAACACATAATTTTCAATGTTCTCAAAAACATTTATTCACAAACCAATATATTATATGTTTTCCAAAATCCAAGTCCCATATCTGAGTTTGCTTGAAACCTTTAGAGGTAGGTCCTCCCACCATCTCACCAATTGCACTTTCACGTGGTGGACACAACCATGATATATATTAGGAAAGGCATTGATCTTGAAGTGGACTCAGCTTCAAGTTCCACTACTAAAATGTACTACCTATGTGGTTTGAAAAAAATGTGAGTATTATTTGCAAGTCTCAATTCCTTCTTTGTAGAATAGTAAAATCATTTACCTTACAAGGTTATTTGGGAGATGGAATGATGTGAGACAGTGTGCTCTGTAATTAGTTTTATATTTGAGAAAGTTAAGGTCTGTTAGAATAGAATTCAATGTACAAATAATCTCATTACCATGGAGTTTTAGCTACAAATGTAGGGATGAATTGATAATTAGCATATATTATTTGATGATTATAGTTTTCTAAGAAAAACAAACCTTCTTTAGTACTAAAATGTCTCTGTTTGCTTTTGCATTTTTTTTTGTATATAGTGATAATCAGAGCATTGTTGAAAACTAACAACTCCCAATACTGAGAAAGATCCCATGCAGTCATCATGAGAGAATTTCATCTCCAGCTTTGCCTCTCTCAGCAGTAAGCCATTAGCTCTGGGAATAGAGCCGACAGTAATTTAAGATGGTGTCATATCACTGGGGCCACTTTTTGGAAAATTATAGGATGTTGTGTTCCATTTGTGTCAAATTTGGTGTGAAGGGATGTCAGAAATGCGACTGTTGTTACCAGAAAACCGCTTTTCTGCTCTTTGACAATGAGAAAACCAGCCATGTTTCTTAGAGACATAGATATGGTGATGACAATCTGTCAGTCTGAGGAGCTCAGAAAGTACTACAAAACCAAAAATAGTATATTTTTCTTCACTTTGATTTACACTTCTGAAGACTTTTCCTTTGCTTAACCACTGGTGTGATTTATTCAAGAGTTACAATAAATGTAATACACTTTTTAATTTACTCTGCCTAAGTCTTTCTAATTAGATAGTTACAACTACTAAAATATTCACATGGAGAGTAATCATTCAAAGAGCTTTCACAGGAAGCAATTGTAAGATGCCTATATTTTGTGTAATTACATAGCTCATTCTTTGTCTTTCGCAAGAGAATTTTGTATGGGATAATAACTTCAGAATATGATATTAATATAACTGATGCCAGAGTTATTACCAATCTTAATTTGCACCTTTCATGCTACTTTGAATATTTTATTTATGCTGAAATGTCAACTATGCATCTGAAAATGGCCCAAAAGGAACCTTAGCTATCCAACTCTTCAGATAGAATGTCCCCATATCATCCCCGATAATATTAAATCCTCTAAGATTCTGTATACCTTTGTGCTTATAGATGATTGAAGAAGATCAAATGTCTCATGGATAATTTATTCCTATTTTTGTAAATCTCCAACACAAACTCTTTTAAAAGTAATTGCGAGATACCGATTGAGGGCTAACTCAAATAATGCAGTGATTTAAGTGGAGATACAAAGAAGTTGCTAAATGCTCTAGAATTAGAACAATACCTGTTTCTTCATATAAGATTCTTATGCTCTCTGGTATTAAAAAGGAAGGTTAACCTTTTTTTGGTAAACTTTACTATCAACATACATACACACACACACACACACACACACACACACACACACACACACATGCTACACCAGAAATGAAAAAGTGTGGTCTTTAAAAAAAATGTGATTTTTATAGCAGTAACCATCTCATCTGTTTTCCTTTCATTTTCTCCTGTAGAAAGTGCCTGAAACATGCATTTGCTAAGCTTTTATAAGTGATGTCCTCTTATCAGGAAATTGCTGAAACACTAAAACAGCTCAGTCTTTTCCACTGTGAGGGCACAAAAGAGGCAAAGAAGAGGAGGTAGAGTGGAAATTAAAGCCTAGATTCTCTCTAATTAACATATCAATGGTAAGTCCTTCCTCATGGGTCTCATAGACACTTTGGATGGTTCCAGGGGCTTAAGCATTCTTGCCAATTCCTCCAAATGGGCCACCTACTGGGAGAATATCCCAACTGCACAAGGCTGTAAGGTAGATAGCTAGAGGCAAGGTTTGGCATGAGGAAGAAAACAAGAAGTTGCACTTCAAATGGTTCGTCTATGCCGGGAGATCATACAGGGAGAGAAGCCAGTTCGTTAACAAACCAGAAAAATGCATCACCAAGAGTGAGATGGCATTAGGACACACGAAATACAGAAGAAGAAACAAAGACCTAAACAGTGCAAGGCAAAGAAATAATGAAAACTAGCAACACTAGAGCTTCCTCACAATCATTTATATGTAGGGTATGGGGCTACTCACATTGTCCTAGCCCACAAGGCTAAGTGCATAAAGAAATGTCATTGCCCTCTTTACCTGCTGCACCAAGATGAGAGTAAGAGTGTTGGAAAGAGCCTACTGTGAAAGGAGAGACCACTGCCCTCTCCAACCCTCACAACTGAAGCTCTTAGCCTAACATCTCTGGGATAGAGAAAATGAATGTTTTGAATGAAATGTAAAATTGAAGAATTTAAATAAACAAGACCAAGTTTTAATTACTGAAATAAGACATTTTGAATAACCAAAACAACAAACACTTTATGGGCTCAGGCAAAGTTATTGTTAAAGTACATGTCAAACACAGAAAAGGGGCACTTAACAGAAAACTCAGCAATAGCAGTTCCTACAAAAAATAAAACATAATTTTTTCATCAGTAAGTTAAGATTCCTAAATTAATCTGGTTTAGAATTTTAATATTGCAGTTATAAATTTTGAAAGATTTTACAAACACAAAATTATCAATGTATCTTTGTGTATAAACCTAAAACTTTAAAAATAAATTCTTTTATTTTATTTTCTTTTTTTACAATTCTGTCCAGAAGGCTTTTTTAATTTTTAATTTTTGGGGGGTACATACTAAGTGCATATATTTATTGGGTACATGAGATCTATTGAAACAGGCATAAATGCATAAAAGTCACAATAGAGTCAATTAGGTATCCGTCACCTCAAGCGTTTATCCTTTCTTTGAGTTACAAACAATCTAATTATATTCTTTCAGTTATTTTTAAAGGTATAATAAATTATTGTTGATTGTAGTCACACTGTTGTGCTATCAAATACTAGATCTGAATTATTCTAATTATATTTTTGCACCAACTAAACATCGCCCCTAGGCACACCCTTCTACCCTTCCCAGCCTCTGGTAACCATTCTGCTACTATCTTCATGAGTTAATTTTCCTTTTTTTTAATTTTTAGCACCCACAAATAGATGAGATATATGAAATTTGTCTTTCTGTGCCTGGCTTATTTCACTTAACATAATGACCTCTAGTTCCATCTATGTTTTTGCAAATGACAGGATCTCACTCTTTTTTATGGCTGAATAGTACTCCATTGTGTATATGTACTATATTTTCTTTATACATCTTTTGATGGACACTTGGTTTACTTCCAAATCTTGTCTATTGTGAATAGGGCTGCAATAAACACTGGAGTGCAGATATCTCTTTCATATACTGATTTCCTTTCTTCTGAGTATATAGCTAGCAGTGGGATTGCTGGATCATATGGCAGCTCAATGTTTTGTTTTTGAGGAACCTCCAAACTGTTCTCTTCTCCAGTGTGGCTATATTAATTTGCATTCCTACCAGCAGTGTTCGAGGGTTCCCCTTTCTCCATATTTTTGCCAGCATTCATTATTTCCTGTCTATTGAAGAAAAGCCATTTAAACTGGGGTGACATGATATTTTGTTGTAGTTTTGATTTGTAGTTCTCTCATAATGATGTTGAGCACCTTTTCATATACCTGTTTGCCATTTGTATGTCTTCTTTCAAGAAATATCTATTCAGATATTTTGCTCATTTTTAATTGGATTGTGAGATTTTTTTTCCTATATAGCTGTTTGAGCTTCTTATATATTTTGATTATCAGTCCCTTGTCAGTTGGGTAGTTTGCAATTTTTCCCCATTCTGTGGATTGTCTCTTCACTTTGTTGATTGTAACCTTTGCTGTACAGAAGTTTTTAACTTGATGTGATCCCATTTGTTCATTTTTGCTTTGGTTGCTTGTGCTTGTGGGGTATTGCTCAAGAAATTCTTGCCCAGTCCAATGTCCTGGAGAATTTTCCAAATGTTTTCTTTCAGTAGTTTCATAGTTTTGAGTCTTAGATTTAAGTCTTTAATCCATTTTGATTTGATTTTTGTACATGGCAAGAGATAAGGGTCTAGTTTCATTCTTCTGCATATGGATCTCCATTTTTTTCCCAGCACCAATTATTGAAGAGATTGTTTTTTCTCTGGTATATGTTCTTGGCACCTTTGTCAAAAATGATTTCACTGTAGATGTATGAATTTGATTCTAGGCTCAACATTCTGCTTTGTTGGTCTATGTGTTGGTTTTTACACTGGTACTATGGTATTTTGGTTACTATAGCTCTGTGGTATAATTTGAAATCAAGTAATGTGATTCCTCTAGTTTTGTTCCTTTTGCTCAGGATAGCTTTGACTATTCTGAATCTTTTGTGGTTCCATATAAATTCTAGGATTTTTTTCTATCTCTGTCAATAATGTTATTAGTACTTTGATAGGGATTCCATAGAATCTGCAGATTGCTTTAGGTAGTATGAGCATTTTAACAATATTCATTATTTCAATTCAAGAACATGGAATAGCTTTTCAGTTTTTTTGTGGCCTCTTCAGTTTCTTACACCAATGTCTTAGAGTTTTCATCATAGAGATCTTTTGGTTCTTTGGTTAAATTAATTCCTAGGTATTTTACTTTATCTGTAGCTAATTTAAATGAGATTATTTTATGATTTATTTTTCAAATTGTTTGCTTTGGCATGTAGAAATGCTACTATTTTTGTACGTTGATTTTGTATCCTCCAACTTTACTGAATTTGTTTAGTAATTCTAATAATTTTTGCTGGAGTCTTTAGGTTTTTCCAAATATAAGCTCAAATCATATGCAAACAAGGATAATTTGACTTATTCCTTTCCAATTTGGAAGCCCTTTATTTCTTTCTCTTGTATGATTGCTCTAGCGAGGACTTCCGGTACTATATTGAATAACAGTGGTGAAAGTGGGCATCCTTGTTGTGTTCCAGATGTTAGAAAAAAGGCTTTCAGATTTTCCACTTTCAGTATGATACTATCTGTGGTTCTGTCATATGGCTTTTATTGTGTTGAGGTATGTACCTTCCATACACAGTTTTTTGATCATAAATAAAGGCTGAATTTTGTCAAGTGTTTTTTCAGTAAAATTGAAATGATCATATGATTTTTTTGTCCTTCATTCTGTTGCAATGATGTATCACATTGACTTATATATGTTGAACCAACCTTGCATATGTTGAATCAACCTTGCATCCCTGGAATAAATCCCACTTGGTCATGATGAATGATTTTTTTAATGTGTTGTTGAATTTGGTTTTCTAGTATTTTATTGAGGATTTTTGCATCAATTTTCGTCAGGGATATTGGCCTGTAGTTTTCTTTATTTGAGTAGCTTTGTCTGGTTTTGGTATCAGGGTAATGCTGGACTCATTCACTGGTTTCCTAGAATGAGTTTGGAAGTATTCCCTCTTTCTCTATTTTTTGGAACAGTTTGAGTATGACTGGTATTAGTTCTTCTTTATATGTTTGGTAGAATTCAGCAGTGAAGCTTAGGGTCATGGGCTTTCCTTTCCTGGGAGATCGTTATTACGGGCTTCAGTCTCATTACTTGCTATTGGTCTGCTCAGGTTTTGGATTTCTTTGTGATTCAATCTTAGCAGGTTGTATGTGTCTAGGAATTTATCCATTTTTTCTGAATTTTCCAATTTATTGACATGTAGTTGCTCACAGTGGTCTTTAATGATCGCTTGAATTTCCATTTTTTTTTTTTTTTTTTTTCTGACGGAGTGTTGCACTGTCGCCCAGGCTGGAGTGCAGTGGCGCAATCTAGGCTCACTGCAAGCTCCACCTCCCACGTTCACTCCATTCTCCTGCCTCAGCCTCCTGAGTAGCTGGGACTACAGGCGCCCACCACCACTCCCGGGTAATTTTTTGTATTTTTAGTAGAGACGGGGTTTCACCGTGTTAGCCAGGATAGTCTCGATTTCCTGACCTCGAGATCCACCCACTTCGGCCTCCCTAAGTGCTGGGATTACAGGCATGAGCCACTGCGCCCCGCCCGGTATTGGGTTTAATGTCTTCTTTTCCATCTCTGATTTTATTTGTTTATGTCTTCTCTCTTTTTTTTTCTTATTTAGTCTGGCAAAAGAGTTGCCAATTTTATTTATCTTTTCAAAAAACCAACTTTTCATTTTGTTTATTTTTAATTTTTTTTCATTTCAACTTTATTTCTGTTCTGATATTTATTATTTATTTTCTAATGTCAATTTAGGTTCAGGTTTGCTTTTGTTTTTCTAGTTATATAAGATGCATTGCTAGGTTGTTTATTTGAAGTTTTTCTACTTTTTTGATGTAGGTGCTTATAGCTATAAATATTTATTTTTGTACTGCTTTTGCTGTATCCCATGGGTATTGGTATGTTGTGTTTCCATTATCATTTGTTTCAAAAAATTTTTTTATTTTTCTTTTTCATTTATTCATTGACCCACTGGTCATTCAGAAGCATATGGTTTAATTTCTATGTGTTTGCAGAGTGTTCAAAATTTCTCTTGTTATTGATTTCTAGTTTATTCCATTGTAGTCAAAGAAGATACTTGATATAATTTAAATTTTTTGAATGTTTAAGACTTGTTTTGTGGCCTAAAATGTGATCTATCTTTGACAGTGATCCATAAGCTCCAGGACACAATGTGGGTAGACATTGGATAAAATGTTCTGTAAATATCTGTTAGGTCCATTTGGTTTATAGTGCAGAGTAAGTCTGATGTTTGTTTGTTGATTTTATGTCTGAAAGATCTGTCCAATGCCGAAATTGGGGGTGTTGAATTCTCCAGCTATTATTGTATTGGGGTCTATAGCTTTCTGTAGCTCTAATAATATTTGCTTTATATATCTGGGTGCTCCAGTGTTAGGTACATATATGTTTATCATTGTTATATCCTCTTGCTGTATTGACCCTTTTATCATTGTATAAAAACCTTCTTCTTCTCTTTTTATAGTTTTTTTCTTTTGCTTGAAATCTGTTTTGTCTGATATAAGCATAACTACTCCTGCTCTTCTTTGTTTTCTATTTGTTGAAATATCTTTTTCCATCCCTTTATTTTCAGTTTATGAGTGTCTTTTAAAGTAAAGTGTATTTCTTGTAGCTAACAAATCACTGGGTCTTTAAAAAAAAATGTTTAACCACTCTATGTCTTTCTGATTGGAGAGCTTACTCTATTTGCATTCATGTTATTATTGATAAGTAAGGACTTACTCATGCCATTTTGTTATTTGTTTCATGATTGCTTTTTGGTCTTCTCTTCCTTCTTGTTATCTTGAGGCTTGCATATAATATCTTATAACCCATTATTTTAAACTGATATCAACTTAACACTGATTGCATAAACAAACAATGAATGACAACACTAACACAATTTCTACGGTTTAACTTTGTCCTCCACTTTATAATTCTTTGTTGTTTCTGTTTATATCTAATTGTATTTGCTATATCTTGAAAAGTTGTTCAGTTATTGTTTTTGTTCAATTCTTTTAATCTTTCTACTTAAGATATGAGTAGTTTATACACTACAATTACAGTATTATAATATTATCTTTTTCTGTGTACTTACTATTCCCAGTAAGTTTTGCACCTTCAGTTGCTTTCTTATTGCTTATTAACATCCTTTTCTTTCAGATTCAATAACTCTCTTTAACATTTTTTGTAAGACAGATCTGGTGTTGATGGAATCCCTCAGCTTTTGTTTGTCTGGAAAAGTCTTTATTTCTCCTTCATATTTGAAGGATATTTTCACTGGATATACTATTCTAAATAAATGTTTTTTTTTCCTTCAACTATTTAAATATGTCATGCCAATGTCTCCTGGGCTTTAAGGTTTCCACTGAGAAGTCTGCTACCAGATATAATGAAGCTCCATTGCACATGGTTTGTTTCTTTCTCTTAGTGCTTTCAGGATCCTTTCTTTATCTTTGACCATTGGGAGTTTGATTATTAAATATCTTGAGATACTCTTCTTTGTGTTAAATATGCTTAGTATTTTATAATCTTCTTTTACTTGAATACTGATATTTTTTCTAGGTTTGAGAAGTACTCAATTAATTATCCCTTTGAATAAAGTTTCTACCCCATCTCTCTCTCTCCCTTTCCCTTAAGGCCCAAAACTCCTAAATTTGCCCTTTTGAGGTTATTTTCTAGATCTTGCAGGCATGTTACAATTTTTAAATTCTTTTATCTTTTATACATAATCCTTTGATTATTTATAATCACAGTCCTTTGTGTATTTTCAAATAGCCTGTTTTCAAGATTACTAATTATTTCTTATGCTTGATCACGTCTGCTGATAAGAGGTTCTGATGCATTCTTTAGTATGTCAATTGTATTTTCATCTCCAGAATTTCTGCTTGATTCTTTTAAATTATATCAATCTCTGTAAAATTTATCTGATAAAATTCCAAATTCCTTCTCTGTGTTATCCTGGATTTTGTTGAGTTTCCTCAAAACAGCTAATCTGAATTCATTTTCCAAAAAAAAAAAAAAAAAAAAAAAAAAAGGTCACATACATCTATCTGTCTCTCCAGGATTGGTCCCTCATGCCTTATTTAGTTTGTTTGATCGAGGTCATGTTTTCCTGGATGGTCTGAATGCTTGTGGATGTTTGTCAGTGTGTTGGCATTGAAGAGTTAAGTATTTATTGTAGTCTTTGCAGTTTCAGCTTGTTTGTACATATCCTCCTCAGAAAAGCTTTCCAAGTATTCGAAAGGACTTGAGTGTTGTAATCTGTTTTTGGTCTCTGCAGCTGTGTCTACATTAGGGAGCACCCCATGCCTCATAACACTGTGGCTCTTCCAGACTTGTAGGGATATGATCTTCATGGTCTCAGATAAAATCTGGAAGAATTCTCTGAATGACCAGGCAGAGATCCTTGCTCTCATCTTTTAATTTCTCCCAGACAAATGGAGTCTGTCTGTCTGTGCTGACCTGCCTGGGGGAGAGATCATACAAACACCACGGTGGACACCATGACTAGGATTGTCAGACCTGAAGCCAGCATGGTATTTGGTCTCACCCAAGGCCTGCAGTAACCACTGCCTGCCTACCATCTATGTTCACTCAAGGCCCTAGGGTTCTACAATCAGTAGGAAGCAAAGCCAGCTAGGCTTCTGTCCTTTCCTTCAGGGTGACAAGTTCTGCCTTGTTCCAGGCAGGTCTGGAGATACCATCGAGGAGTCAGAGCCTCGAGTTGGAAACCTTAGGAATCTTCCTAGTGCTGTGGCTGAGCTGGTACCAAAGCCGCAAGACAAATTCCTTCTCACTCTTTCCTCCACAAACAGAGGAGTCTCTCCCCATGGCCACCACTACCTCAGGCCTGTGGCTGGCTATTGTTGAGAGCCAAATTATATACCTAATGCTAAGGTATATAGCATAAGGTGTATAAGAATGCTTGTGATTTTTGCACATTGATTCTCAGCAAACTATCACAAGGACAAAAAAACCAAACACCGCATGTTCTCACTCATAGGTGGGAATTGAACAATGAGAACACATGGACACAGGAAAGGGAACATCACACACCGGGGACTGTTGTGGCGTCGGGGGAGGGGGGAGGGATAGCACTGGGAGATACACCTAATGCTAGATGACAAGTTAGTGGGTGCAGCACACCAACATGGCACATGTATACATATGTAACAAACCTGCACATTGTGCACATGTACCCTAAAACTTAAAGTATAATAATAATAAAATTAAAAAAATTGAGATTATAGTACTATTAATTCTCACAGTAATATTTTTATACTTTCTTTTTCTGGCTTTAAAGATTATTTTATATTTCTTTCAAAAAAATCATAGTTTTTAATGTTTTGTATGTTCTTGAAAATGCTTTGTATTATTAACTTTTCGAGTAGATTTTTACATATAGTCTATTAGATCAAGCTTGTAGTGTTAGATAATTCCTTTAAATTTAACTTTTTGCACACTTAATCTACCACTTATAAAACATGTAAAAACTTCATACTACATATCTATTTCTTACCACAATTATGTTAATTTTTGACTTATGTGTTATATAATTTGATGCTATGCTAATGAATCATACATGATTGATTTGTTATAATTTTCTGCTAAATTAAAATTTTAAGAAATCTTTTTGGTGATCACTTTATCTCTAGTTATAACTTTTGTTCACAGTCATATTAGGAATTATAGTTAAGTTCTACAACTTATTTTTTGTTTGTATTTGCCTGCTAAATTTTAATTTTGGATTGTTTTAATATGAATCCTTGGAATTTTTTTGCTGAAAATCTTTGCTTTGGGCTGAAAATATTGTCTGTGTTTTCCTGTCTTATGCTTTCTTTTGGACTTATGTTCTTCCTTTTCTGGACAAGTTTGAAATCAATTCAGTAGACATTCACATTCTATTTCTCTTCTCAGCACTTAGAAATAATACTCTGAGTTTTAACATTTTTTATATGCTAGATAAACACACATAACTTACCACATTCTAAAGTTAATAAATGTATTTTTTCTCCAGAAAAATATAATCACTGTATAATATTTAATTCTAAATATTCTATTCAAAATTTCATAGTAATATTTTCCAGTATTTGTATCTATCTCTTTTTTTGTTGTTTAAATCTCATAGGCCTATAAGACATTATTATCATTGTTTTACTCAGTCAATACTTACTTGATTTGGCAACAAATGTACATCTTTGTGCTCATCTTAATACTTGTATCACAATGCTTCCATCTGGGACTATTTTCTTTCTGACCATAGAATTCATTTAAAATTTCTTTTATTGGAAATCAGCTAGTCACATACTTTCTCAGTTTTTTTTAATGTAATTAAGTGTATTTAATTTAAAAATCTTGGTGTTTTGTTAATTTCTCGTGGGTAATTATTTTCCTGATGTCACATTGAGTATTTTTTTCTGATCTCTAAAATGGTCACCGAGTAAATGATGCCTTCTAGTATTTATACCCTTTTGTAGACAATTTTTTTTGAACTGGTACTAGCAGTATGACTAGCTTTTTACTAATAGAATGCAGAGCAATTGATACTGGGTGACAATTAAGGCCATATCTTAAGAATCCTTGCAAATTATCATGTGGTGTTAGAATGTTTACTCCAGGGGAATATCAGCCCTATGTAAAATATCTCCATCACTTGAGGTTACTATTCTGTGAATAAACCCAAGATAGCCTTATGGAGAGAGAAAGGGATAACACATTGTTTCAAGCCACAGATTTTTGAGCTGGTTTATTATGAGCAACAAATAACCGGTATAAAATCAGTCCATTCCCTTTTTGTGTTTATTTGTTTATGAACATTTTTTTTCCTTAACTAATCTAATTGACATTCCATTAGAGTAAAACAGGATTGAAGTGCGTTAGAGTTAACCAACTGCAAAGTTTGAAGGAACAGACTATACAAAACCATCCTCAATTGCAGGTTTAGAGAGCTCTCAAAACTTTCCTCAGTTTTGATAATTTGCTAGCACTCACAGAATTTACTGAGAACCATTATACTCATGGTTACAATTTATAACAGGGAGATCGGGGTACAGATAAAAATCATCCAAAAGATGAAATGCATAGGGCAGAGTTCAGGAGGGTTCCAAACTTCTAAATGTCCTTTCCCGTTGAGTGATAGACAGTGGTAATGCTATTTGGAAATGATGTGTGACAATACACATGGAATATTTTGAACCAGTGAAGCTCTTGGTGTCCAGTTTTTACTGGGGTTCTATCACATAAGCCTGGTTGACTCCCCAAGTGGCTGACCTCAGTCTCTAACCTCTCAGGAGGTTAAGGTGACCCAATGTCCAGATGCTAATTACATTGTTGGTGTGGCTCAATTCTCTCACCCAAATCACAGTATTACTATCTAGCTGCCCCAAGGCCCTTGAACAAACAAAGATAGTGCTATTAGGCATGACACTCTAATGGCTCAGAGATTACCTCCTAGCAGTAAAGGACAAAAGCCAGATGCATTTGGGATTCACTAACTGTATTCTACTAAGTCTTCTTTAAATGGTATTCTAGCTTTATCATTATAGCATTTTTTCACCATGTTTCATAAAATGCTGCCACAAACAAAAACAAATTGCACTATCTTTGCATAAATCTAACTCCAGCTATCAGTTTTCTTCTTTTCTTTTCTCTTTTTGCCGAATAGGCCTTAATCATTTCCAAATATTCTGAAGGCCATGAGACAGCATATCATGGAGTGAATCTCAGGCAATAGTAACAGAATTGTTGTGCTTAATGCTCATAGTTTCAAAAGAGTAGAGCACTTAGAGGGGGTAAAATATTTAATTATCATAATCTACTCTAGGAGTACTCTTACAGTTAGGCTTCCCAAGTTTACCTATTAAAAATACAAGAAAATATTTAAATTTGAAATTCAGTTAACCAATATTTTTAGGCTAAGACTGTGTGAAGTATTACATACATATACACTATAAAAATTACTAATTGTGTATCTAAAAATCAAATAGAAATGAGTATTTTTCTGGAAATCCTACTTCAGCTATTCTTTCAATCTAGTGATAGTATGAACTAAGAAAAAATGTGATCATTGATTTGGACTTGTAAAACATTCTTGAAGGTACACAAAAATGTTAAACTAAATATATACCTATATAGAGTATTATCATTTATTACAACAATTTTGAAAAGAATAAGCTAACTATAGAGTTGATTATTCCCCAAAGATTTATATCAACTATTTAATAAGGCTAATTTCAACATTGATTTCTGCTTTTCTGTAATTTCTCAATGCCAAAATAAATAAGAAAATGTTAACATATGGTGAGTTAAAACGTTATTGATACTTTTAACATCTCACAAATGTTATTTTTAGGGTACTTCCCTAAAAGCACCCAAGCAATTAAAGCTTTAGGTGACCTACCTGATGATTTAGTCCATTAATGTTGGACAATATTCATGGCTGTGTCATGAGCTAAACTCTAGTTACTCTTAACATTTGATTTAAAATAATGCATAATTAACCTTAGCTTCTTTAATAACATTATGCTGTGTTTTTACAACCAAATAATGAAACCTTACCGTATAACTTGTATTTTACTGGGATTGACATACATACCAAAAATAATTGTTACATGCCTTCTGATAGTTCCAATTAGTTAGCATCATAAAGAAATAGCTGTAAACAAGAACAATATTCCAGCCTGAATCATGAATTATAAATTTACAAATTGATTTTCTTACGCTTCTCCATTGACTTGAACCTTAAAAACATGGCATTGACTGAGTAGGTTCTCTGTTGTGTATGATGATGAGAAAGAAGCTTGAAAGGACTGACATGACAAAAAATGTTGCAATGCATTTATCTTAACAAGAACTATTGATGGGGGAATCTACTTATTCTCCATTTTTCTAGCCGATCCAATTATTGGAACCCTTTCATTATACTAAGCCATAATATATGGTATGTTCTAAGAGATTTTGTGAAGGCAAGAAAAAAACCGTAAGAAGTAAGAATAAGCCAAAAATGTATCTATTTTTGTCTTTGCAAAAATTATAGACACAAGTAGTGCTTAAAAATTGTCTTTCTAATGCTTCCTGTAAGAAATGTGGCTTTCCATTATTTTGTCCCTTTATAGTCATGTCATTTACTCACCCCTTCATTTTTTTACTATTTCAAGTATGGATTGAATTCTTAGTACAAAACCACATAGAATGCTATGTTCTGACTATTCAATGATGAATAAGTAACAATAGCTTCTTTCAATACATTTATAAACTAGTGGAGAAAAATAGACGAGAAAATCAATTATTGCAGCAAAAAGTAAAAACTGCTAACATCAGAGAAATGTACAGTGAGAAGAGAGGAGAAGTTTTTTTTCAGACTGTGTGTTAGTGAAAGGAAAGTATATCATAAAACATTTCCACAAGGACATCATATAAGCTAAGTAATTATTCTACATTATTTTTGAAAATTATTTTCCTAAATATCTATCGTGGAAGAGAATATTGGTGTGTAGAGTTCAGTCATGGGGTGGGATAAAGTTGAGGGAAAGAAAAAAAATTGTATGTGTGTTAGGAATTTCACCCCAGGTCTCAAAAAATATAATATGGGGAAAAACTCAAACTTTAAAAGTAGGCTAAAATACAGGTCATGAAGTAAAATGAGCAAAGCAGTGTTTTGCCTGTGAGTTGTCAGCTCCCCAGTCCTGAGATAAAAATATTTAAAATCCATACATATTAAATTACTGTTTTAACTTACATCTAGCAATTTTTATTTATTGATTTAGACATTTGAATCAAAGCAAAAATTTTAAACTTTTGTTCACAAAACCATCTCACACTCCCAGGTGTTGACTTTTATTCTCGAAAACTCTTCTCCTTCAAATTAATTCCAAGATATAATCTCAACTGAGAGACACAAAATATATAGGCAATGTCATTTTAAAGATCTGTTGAGTGTTTTTGTTCTGATATTTTGTGGTAGGGCTTACTTAATGACATTTGTTTTATGCCATTAATAAATTATAAGTCTAGGCTTTGCAATCCAATATTACACATAGAGGAACAAGTGGATTTCAGACATGTTTATTCCTTTCTTAATCTCTTTCCTCATTCTTTTTTGTTGGTTGAAGAGTGACAAAGATTGTAAACAATCAATTGGCATCTTTCAAGCTTTAGAATATAGAAAAGTGTGGTTGTGTACTAGATACCCTGCTAAGCATTTTTAAAGCTATATATTTATCACAAAGGAGGTGGTAACATTATTTTTTCCTGTATTACATATGATGAAACTGAAATTTTGAATTGTTGAGTAACTTAACCAAGGTCATATAGTTAATAAATTGCAGAATTTAAATTACTTTTTGGTTCTATCTGACTCTAGGGCCCATACTCTAAAATATCATGCATTAGTGCATGCTGCACCTGCAACTTACCAAGACCTTATGCCCAGGGGAGGGAGGGAATATCTCTTTGTATAGATGTACATTCTGAGAAAAAATTATAAAATTAGTGAATCTTCTTATTTTTCTTATTTTCTTGTTTCTGTGTCTTTGTGTGTATGCTTTTTGGTCTTTCTATTTCATTGTTTTTGCATCTTTTCCTGAGTATCTTTTTCTTTTCCCTCCCTCCTTCGCTCCCTCCCTTCCTTCCTTCCTTCCTTCCCTTTCTTTCTTTGTCATGCTGTCTAATGTTCTTTCTTTCTCTCTCGCTCTGTCTTTTGTGCATGCACACGTCATGATGTTTGGATCATGCCGCTTTATATTTAATAAAATCACATAAAGGAAAATAAATGAAGGAAAAAATGCATCATTCAATTCTCCAGTTTTCCAAACTAAGCAATTCATGAAAACTTATGATAGCAAAGAATGTTTGTTTAATCTTATGTATTTCTTTCCCTGTCAAAAGAATTTGAAATGATATCACCATTAGACAAAGTCAACTTAAAACGCAAAGGAGGAAAAGTAAAATTATAAGATCCAATTAATTCATTTCCAATGGAGTTTCAAATAAATATAGTTTGTATTTAAGCAAATTCGCTACTTATTTGAATTGTACAACTGTAATATCCACTGGTTTATTAAAAGGAGACATGGGATAATCTACACATAAAAAATGTTTCTGAAACCCATAGACCTTTAGAAAAAAATATTTCAAACACTGACTAGAAATCATTCCAAAGCCCTGGTGTTCTGCATCACTGTAGGGTGAACATGATTAACTACACTTTATTTTATATTTTGAAAAACTAGAAGGGAGTATTTTGAATGTTTACAACACAAAGTAATGATAAATGTATGAGGTGATGAATATACTAATTATTCTGATTTGATCGTTACACATGGAATACATGTATTGAAATATTGTTCTGTATCCTATAAATATGTACAATTATTACATGACAACTGAAAATGAAAGGAAAACATATAACTAAAGAGAAATTATTCTAAAGTTAAAATGTAACAGATATAAATCATTTTGAGAAAAAAATCTTTATCTATAAAAGCTGTGTAGTGAATAGTTGCTTGTTTCATGTGAATTAAAAAGTCCTGTTCTAGGAAAACTCAATTAATGATTGAACCATTGTGGAGGTCCATTTCGGAAGTTCTGATAAATAAAATAACATCACTTTCTTTAAGTGACTGCTAGTAAGAAGAGCCTTGCCAGTGGGAGCAAATGCCTATTTTCTTCTCGTTGTTCACAAGGAGAACGGATGTTTTAGAAAAGATCAATGGATTACTTTGCACATAACCATAATGTAGCTGCTCCAACAAGAATTTTGGGAAATCAGAGTTCTGTTTCTTTCTTTTTTATTATTATGTTTTCAGATCACAGTTTTAATAAGAACATGTCAGAATATGTACTACATATAATTGTATGTTATATGAACAAATTAAAAAGCATTTGGAATAATTACTCAACACAGAACAATTTTGTATTATAAAAATAAAAATTTAGATTCCACTCAAAATAGAAAAATACAGTCCAAAGAAATCAAAATTGTTTAAATGCTGTCTCACTTTTAATAGTGTTTATTCTTTGTAAAATATTTTATAAAATACCTTAAAATTCAAAAAGTTCAGCATATACACTATCGAATACTATGCAGCCATAAAAAAAGAATGAGTTCATGTTCCTGGTAGATACATGGACAGAGCTGGAGGCCATTATCCTTAGCAAACTAATGCAGGAACACAAAACCAAATACCGCATGTTCTCACATAGTGAGAGCTAAAAGATGAGAACACATGAACACATAGAAGGGAACAATACACACTGGGGACTTTCAGAGGATGGAGGGGAGGAGGAGGGAGAAATAATCTGTACAACGAACCCCATGACACAAGTTTACCTATGTAACAAACCTGCAATTGTACCCTTGAACTTAAAATAAAAGTTAAAAAAACTTCAACTTTTAATATTTATGTTGAACAAAAGCCATGATAATCATGAGCAATATATATTTTGGAAAGCTTATAATGAATCCCCTGGAAATAGAATTAGGACAATCATATGGATTTTTTTCCTAAAGCCATTTTTTAACCGAATATTCATTATTTTGGGCAGTGAAAATATGACCCTGAAAGGAGAAATAAAATTGCAGTAATTTATGCACACTATTTTCATTTTCTCATTTAACAAGTCGTGTAGATTTGGTGATATGGTGAGATTTGAGCTTATTCTCTCTGCTTAAACATAAAGTTTAACATTATTCATGTTTTTATAACTGCCAAAAGACAACTAAACAAGATTTAAGCAAAACTCATGAACAAAATTTATAAAAAGGAACACTAAATGCTCACTGTCATGACTAACAATAGAATTTGGAACATACAGGGTGGGCACGGTGCCTCATGCCTGTAGTCCCAGCACTTTGGGAAGGCCCAGGTAGGTAGATCACTTGAGGCCAGGGATTCGAGACCAGCCTGGCCAACATGGGGCAAAACCCCATCTCTACTAAAAATACAAAGATTAGCTGGGTGTACTGGTGCATGCCTGTAGTCCCAGCTACTTGGGAGGCTGAGGCATATGAATGGCTTGAACCTGGGAAGTGGAGGTTGCAGTGAGCCAATATAATGCCACTGCACTCCAGCTTAGGTGACAGAGTGAGACCTTGACTCAAAAAAAAAAAAAAAAAAAGAATTTTTGTCTTTGTGTTATACATGTATATCCTCAAAATTTGCTTTTTATAAAAATTTATTTATACTCAAATAAATTATAAGTTCAGTTTAATTACCTATTATAGTAAAACAAAAGAAGAAGTCAGAAATTTCTTAACATTTAATAAACTGACTTATCTTTTAAATATTTTCATGTGTGTATAATTAAACTGACTTAAATCTTGTTAGGTAAAGAGCTCTTTCATTTGAAAACCACAGACCTGGGATTTCCACTTGTTGCCCAGCTGCATTTGCCGCTAATTAATGACTCAGACCATAGACTGAGAATGAAGACCTCCTAGACCCTCCTTAGTGCACACCAGTGACTTACAATATTATTTCTCCTGCCTACAAGGCAGCTCTGCTGTACTTTTGTTTTGTTTTGTTTTTTGAGACGGAGGCTTGCTCTGTTGCCCAGGCTGGAGTGCAATGGCACAGTCTTGGCTCACTGCAACCTCTGCCTTCCAGGTTCAAGCGATTCTCCTGCCTCAGCTTCCTGAGCAGCTGGGATTACAGGTGCCCACCGCACGCCTGGCTAATTTTTGTATTTTTAGTTGAGACGGGGTTTCACCATGTTGGCCAGGCTGATCTTGAACTCCTGACTTCAGGTGAACCACCCGCCTTGGGCTCCCAAATTGCTGCAATTACAGGCATGAGCCACAGCGCCTGGCCTGCTATACTTTTTTCTCCTACCTTTCTGACTGCCTCTGTTACTGGTGCTCCAAATGTGTAGGAGTATTTACTCCCTTCATGATTACACCTGTTTTTAAGATTCACAAATGGAAGGGTGGCACTTCTCGAAATTAGAACATGTTTACTGGGGACCAGATTGGGCAGTAATTTAAGTTTACAACTCATCGCAGGAAGGGTTATTCCTTGATGCTCATGACAAACTTTGGTCTCAAGCTAAGTTTTCTGTTTGGTTCCATCTCACTTAAGATAAATTTCCTCAATGCCCGACTATAAAGATTGATTACTTAAACTATGGATTATCCACATAATTGTATTTTCAATGTATATGATGGTAATGAGTTATTAGAGAGTCTCTATAGAGGATCAGTATTTTAAAGATAAATGTATGAATTTGTACTTTTAAGAGTTCTGAAAGAGGCCAGTGTAGTGGCTTATGCCTGTAATTCCAGCACTTTGGGAGGCGAAGGCAAGTGGATCACTTGAGTTCTGGAGTTCGAGACCAGCCTGGGCAACATAGTGAGACCCCATCTCTACAAAAAATATGAAAATATTAGCCAGATGTGGTGGCAGGTGCCTCAGACTCCCAAGTAGTCCCAGCTACTTGGGAGGCTGAGGTGAGAGGATAACTTGAGCCTGAGAGGCGGAGATTGCAGTGAGCAGAGATTGTGCCACTGCACTCCAGCCTGGGCAAAAGAGTGAGACCCTGTGTCAAAAACAATAACAACAACAAAAACAACAACAACAGAAGTTCTGAATGAAACAGATTCTGACCGTTCATACTGATTCTCTTTGATAGGGAAGATTGGGGTTAATTTTCTTCATGCTTATTTATATGGTCTATTTTTCTGTAGTAGACTTGTATATCTTATATAATTAAAATAATTATTTAGCCATTTAGTAATTGATACATGATGCAGCTACATAACAAGTTCAAAATTCTAAGTGAAAATATTTTTGTGGCATGAGAATTTATAAAAGTCTATTTTATTTTCACATAATGAAGGATGTTAGATAAAGAGCATTATCCCCAGAGATTAGTCACGTGTTGCAAACAAATTGTTTTGATAGTAAAGTAAGGAGTAAAGAAATGTGTACTCTCTAAAAAATAAAGTTCTTATTAAAGCACCCTCAAAAAAAAAAAAAAAAAAAAAAGATAAATTTCCTACCTGTCTGAAATCTTTATGTTCTAGAAGTTGGCATATCTTCCATTAAATTTCTTTTATGAGTGTTTATGATCATGAAGAAAACCTAAAAATTAGTCCAAAAACTTCTTCATTAATATGCAAGGTGTATATGTTTTGACATCTCAGCGCCCTGACTCAATGGTTTAAATTTCTTTTATGGACAAACAATTTTTTATCTCTCCACTCTGAACACCCACTGTACTTACTTGTATATGGCTTCCTTCTTTATATATCTTATGACATTTGCTGGATAAAAAAATTCTTTCCTATCTTTCTGTCAAAAACTGCACCCTATTAAATATCACCTTATTAGTAGAAAGTGAATTGCACTTTTCCATTAGTATGATAATAGGAAATAGAATGGGTATTGAAAGTCCTAGATTGTGATCTAGATTCCTCAATTAATTATCTATGTGAGTGGACAAATTGTTTGTCATATTTGATCCTCATTGAGTAATAAAAATTTTGAAATGGTTTTGTTTTTAGATTTTATCAAATATATGTATTAAGTAACACTCTTTATTCAGCTTTACTTTTATAATTCTGTGACAGGCCCAGATCTAAAAAAGAATGAAATATCTAATATCTTTAGCATTAACAGTAAGAGAAAAGTGAGGAACTCTGGGGGTGTATTAGGGCTCTCCACAGAAGTAGGACCAAAAGGCTATATAAAGATAGCTAGACATAGATGTATATATAAATATAAATATAGACACAGGCATATCTCAGAGATATTGGGGGTTCAGTTCCAGACCGTCACAATAAAAGTGAATATAACAACAAAGCATGTAAAACAATGTTTTAGTTTGCCAGTCATATAAAAGTTATGCTTACACTATACTGCAGTGTATTATGTGTGCGATAGCATTGTCTACACAAATTTGCATACCTGCAGAAATTTAACTTTACTACATTCTTCTCATTGCCACATAGCATGTACTCTAAAATTGATCACAGAATTGGACATAAAACAATCCTCAGCAAATGCAAAAAATAAAATAAAATAAAATCATACCAACCACTCCCTCAAACCACAGCAGAATTAAAATATAAGCCAATGCTAAGACTTTTTGTAACCACAGAATTACATGAAAATTAAACAGCCTACTCCTGAATGACTTTTGGGTAAACAATGAAATTAAGACAAAAGTCAAGAAATTCCTTGAAAATAATGGGAACAAAGATACAACATACCAAAATCTTTGGGACACAGATAAATCAGTGTTAAGCAGGAAGTTTATAGCACTAAATGCCTATAACAAAAAGCTGCAAAGATGTCAAATTAATAACTTAACATCACATGTAGAGGAACCAGGAAACAAGAGCAAACCAACCTCAAAGCTAGAAGAACAAGAAATAACCAAAATCAGAGCTGAACTAAAGGAGGTTGAGACATTAAAAACCATTCAAAAGATCAGTGAATCCAGGAGCTAATTTTTTGAAATAAAATAATAGACCATTAACTAGACTAATAAAAAAGAATAGAGAAGACACAAATAAACACAATTAGAAATGACAACGGGGATATTACTACTGACCCCACAGAAATACAAATAGCCATAAGAGACTGCTTTAAACACTTCCATGCACACAAACTAGAAAATCTAGAATAAATGGATAAATTCCTGGATAGACACACTCTCCCAAGATTGAATCAGGAAGAAACTGAATCCCTGAACAGATGAATAATGAGCTCCAAAATTGAATCGGTAACAAACAGCCTACCAACCAAAAAAAAAAAAAAAAAAAGCCCAAGACCAGATAGATTGATTCACAGCCAGACTTTATCAGATGTACTAAGAAGAGCTGGTACCATTCCTAATGAAACTATTCCAAAAAATTGAGGAGGAGTGTCTCCTCCCAACCTCATTCTATGAGGGCAGCATCATCCTGATAGCAAAATCTGGCAGAGACCCAACCAAAAAAAAAAAGAAATGTTCAGGCCAATAACCTTGATGAACACTGATGGAAAAAATACTCCATAAAATACTAGCAAACCAAATCCAGTAACACATCAAAAAATTAATACACCATGACCAAGTAGACTTTATTCCTGGGATGCAAGCTTGGTTTAACGTATATGAGTCAATAAATGTGATTCATCACATAAACAGAACTAAAGACAAAAACCACATGATCATCTCAATAGATTTAGAAAAGTCTTTTGATACAATTCGACATCCCTTAATGTTAAAAACTCCTAACAAACTAGGTATAGAAGGAAAATACCTCAAAGTAATAAGACACATCTATGACAAACCCACAGCCAACATCATACTGAATGGGCAAAACCTGGAAGCATTCCCATTGAAAACTGGCACAAGACAAGGATGACCTTTCTCACCACTCCTGTTCAACATAATATTGGAAGTCCTAGACAGAGCAATCAGGCCTGAGAAAGAAATAAAGGGCATCCAAACAAGAATAGAGACAGAAACTATCCCTGTTTGCAGCCAATATGATTCTATATCTAGAAAATCCCATAGTCTTGGCTCAAAAGCTGCTTCAGCTGATAAACAACTTCAGCAAAATTTCAGGATACAAAATCAACATACAAAAATCGGTAACTTTCCTATATATCCTAATAACAACCAAGCTAAGAGCCAAATAAGAAACATAATTTCATTCGTAATAGCCACAAAAAGAATAAAATACCTAGGAATACAGATAACAAGGGAGGTGGAAGATCTCTACAATGAGAATTACAAAACACTGCTCAAAGAAATTAGGGATGCAGCAAGCAAATAGAAAAAGATCTCATGCTCATCGATAGGAAGAATCAATGTTACCAAAATGGTCATACTGCCCAAAGCAATTTACAGATTCAATGTTATTTCTATCAAATGTCCAGTGACATTCATTACAGAACTAAAAAAAAAATTTAAAAATTTACATGAAACCAAAAAAGATCCCAAATATCCAAAGCAATTATAAGAAATAGGAACAAAGCTGGAGGCATCATGCTAGCTGTCTTCAAACTATACCACAGGGCAACAGTAACAAAAACAGCGTGGTACTGGTACAAAGACAGACACACAAACCAATGGAACAGAATACAGAGCCCAGAATTAAGGTTGCAAACTTACAACCGTCTGATTTTTGACCAAGCCTACAAAAACAACCAATGCAGGAAGACTCTTCATTCAATAAACGGTGCTCGGATAGCTAGCTAGCAAAATGAAGAAGATTGAAACTGGACACCTTCCTTATACCATATACAAAAAAAAAAAACAAAAAAAAAACCTTAAAATGGATTGAAGATTTATATGTAAAACTCAAAACTATAAAAACCCTGGAAGACAACCTAGGTGATACCACTCGGGACATAGGACTAGGCAAAAATTTCATGACAAAGACTCCAAAAGCTATTGCAACAAAAGCAATAATTGAGAGACAGGATCTAATTAAACTTTAGAACTTCTACACATCAAAAAAAAAAAAAAGCTACCAACGAAGTAATCAGACAGCCTACAAAATGGGAGAAAATATTTCCAAATTATGCATCTGACAGAAGTCTAATATTCTACATCTATAAGGAACTTAAAATGGCTATTATTAAAATATCAAAAAATAATCGGTGCTGATGAGGTTGCAGAGAAAAGGGAACATTTATACATTGTTGGTGGGAGTGTAAATTAGTTCAGCCATTATGAAAAGCAGTGTGGCAATTCCTCAAAGAACTAAAAACAGAAATACCATTTGACCAAAAAATCCCATTACTGGGCATATACCCAAAATAATACAAACGGTTCTATTCTAAAGACACATGCACACATATGTTCATTGCAGCACTACTCAAAATAACAAAGACATGGAATCAACCTAAATACCCTTCATTGGTAGACTGGATTAAAAAATGTGATAGTATACATGGTGGAATATTACGCAGTCATAAAAAAATAAGATCGTGTCCTTTGCAGGAACATGGATGGACCTAGAGGCCATTATCCTTAGCAAAATAATGCAGGAACCAAAAACCAAATACAACATGTTCTCACTTATAAGTGGGAGCTAAATGATGAGAACACATGACTAAATAGAGGGGAACAAAGACACTGGGGCCTATCAAAGGGTAGACGGTGAGAGGAGGGAGAGAATCAGAAAAAAATAACTATTGGGTACTTGGCTTAGTACCTGAGTGATGAAATAATCTGTACAGAAAACACCTGTGACAGGAGTTTACCTATATAACAAACATGAACATGTACTACCAAACCTAAAATAAAAGTTTAAAAAAGGAAATTTTAAAAACATTCTCTAAAATTTCATACTATAATAAAAACATACTATAAAATAAGAAAATAAAGGATGCAATTTTGAGTGTTGTTCTTGAGACATTTCAAATTAAATATTCAATTAAAGATTTTGAAGAAAAATTCCAGAATGCCTCTCCAAAAATATCCCCAAGAGAAATATTTTAGTAGTAGAAATGAAAAGAAGCAAAATTAGTAACCAGTAAAAAAGAGGTTCAATATTAAAATGTTTTTAAAAAGACAAATAAGAAAGTAGTCAGAGGAAAATATCAGAAAATAAAATCACAAGAACATTTATCACAACTGAAAGTGCCTATGAAATAACTATGAAATAAGGGAAAATAACTCCCATCAAAGTTACATCATTATGACATGTACAACACCAGTAGTAAAGGAAAACCTAAACACTTCCAATAGGAAAAAAGTTGAAGTAATATGAAAAGAAGTGGGAATAAGAATAGTACCCAAATAGTCAACAGATACTACAGTTGAAAAGCTGGGATATACATGCCTTCAAAAATATGGAAGAAAATAATTTTCAATCTAGAAATCTATAGCCTGTCAGATCATCATTCAAATATTATTCTTGTAGAATTAAGATATTTCTCAGGTTCAAGGACTCAGAAAACATGTCTTCCATTTACTGTTTACTAGAGACAGAGAGAAGTGTGCAAATGATAAACAAAACAAAAAAGTTGAAAGGGAAAAAAATTAAAAATTTTGTTATAGTATTGGGCTTAACAATGAAAGATCTATATAGTCAAAATAAAATAAATACTGACTATTTAAACAAAAATATAATATAAACATCAGGTGTATTGGGAAGTAAAGAGGAGTGGTACATGATATCTAAATTCTTAATAATTATCACATACACCCTCCCAAGACTAAACCAGGAAGAAGTTGAATCCATGAATAGACCAATAACAGGCTCTGAAATTGAGGCAATAATTAATAGCCTCCAACCAAAAAAAGTCCAGGACCAGACGGATTCACAGCCCAATTCTACCAGAGGTACAAGGAGGATCTGGTAGCATTCCTTCTGAAACTATTCCAATCAACAGAAAAAGAGGGAATCCTCCCTAACTCATTTTATGAGGCCAGCATCATCCTGATACCGAAGCCTGGCAGAGACACAACAAAAAAAGAGAATTTTAGACCAATAACCCTGATGAACATTGATGCAAAAATCCTCAATAAAATACTGGCAAACTGATTCCAGCAGCACATCAAAAAGTGTATCCACCATGATCAAGGGGGCTTCATCCCTGGGATGGAATGCTGGTTCAACATACCCAAATCAATAAATGTAATCCAGCATATAAACAGAACCGAAGACAAAAACCACATGATTATCTCAATAGATGCAGAAAAGGCCTTTGACAAAATTCAACAGCCCTTCATGCTAAAAACTCTCAATAAATTAGGTATTGATGGGACGTATCTCAAAATAATAAGAGCTATTTATGACAAACCCAAAGCCAATATCATACTGAATGGGCAAAAAACTGGAAGCATTCCCTCTGAAAACTGGCACAAGACAGGGATGCCCTCTCTCACCACTCCTATTCAACATAGTGTTGGAAGTTCTGGCCAGGGCAATTAGGCAGGAGAAAGAAATAAAGGGTATTCAATTAGGAAAAGAGGAAGTCAAATTGTCCGTGTTTGCAGATGACATGATTGTATATTTAGAAAACCCCATCGTCTCAGCCCAAAATTTCCTTAAGCTGATAAGCAACTTCAGCCAAGTCTCAGGATACAAAACCAATGTGCAAAAATCACAAGCATTCTTATACACCAATAACAGACAAACAGAGAGCCAAATCATGAGTGAACTCCCATTCACAATTGCTTCAAAGAGAATAAAATACCTAGGAATCCAACTTACAAGGGATGTGAAGGACCTCTTCAAGGAGAACTATAAAACAGTGCTCAATGAAATAAAAAAAGATACAAACAAATGGAAGAACATTCCATGCTCATGGATAGAAAGAATCAATATTGTGAAAATGGCCATACTGCCCAAGGTAATTTATAGATTCAATGCCATCCCCATCAAGCTACCAATGACTTTCTTCACAGAATTGGAAAAAACTATTTTAAAGTTCATATGGAACAAAAAAAGAGCCCACATTGCCAAGACAATCCTAAGCCAAAAGAACAAAGCTGGAGACATCACGCTACCTGACTTCAAACTATACTACAAGGCTACAGTAACCAAAACAGCATGGTACTGATACCAAAACAGAGATATAGACCAATGGAACAGAACAGAGCCCTCAGAAATAATACCACACAACTACAACCATCTGATCTTTGACAAACCTGACAAAAACAAGCAATGGGGAAAAGATTCCCTGTTTAATAAATGGTGCTGGGAAAACTGGCTAGCCATATGTAGAAAGCTGAAACTGGATCCCTTCCTTACATCTTATACAAAAATTAATTCAAGATGGATTAAAGACTTAAATGTTAGACCTAAAACCGAAAAAAACCTAGGCAATACCATTCATGACATAGGCATGGGCAAGGACTTCACGTCTAAAACACCAAAAGCAATGGCAACAAAAGCCAAAATTGACAAATGGGATCTAATTAAACTAAAGAGCTTCTGCACAGCAAAAGAAACTACCATCAGAGTGAACAGGCAATCTACAGAATGGGAGAAAATTTTGCAATCTACTCATCTGAAAAAGGGCTAATACCCAGAATCTACAAAGAAGTCAAACAAATTTACAAGAAAAAAACAACCCCATCAACAAATGGGCAAAGGATATGAACAGACACTTCTCAAAGGAAGACATTTATGCAGCCAAAAGACACATGAAAAATGCTTATCATCACCGGCCATCAGAGAAATGCAAATCAAAACCACAATGAGATACCATCTCACACCAGTTAGAATGGCGATCATTAAAAAGTCAGGAAACAACAGGTGCTGGAGAGGATGTGGAGAAATAGGAACACTTTTACACTGTTGGTGGGACTGTAAACTGGTTCAACCATTGTGGAAGACAGTGTGGTGATTCCTCAAGGATCTGGAACTAGAAATACCATTTCACCCAGCCATCCCTTTACTGGGTATATACCCAAAGGATTATAAATCATGCTGCCATAAAGACATGCACACGTATGTTTATTGCAGCACTATTCACAATAGCAAAGACTTGGAACCAGCCCAAATGTCCATCAATGATAGACTGGATTAAGAAAATGTGTCATATATACACCATGGAATACTATGCATCCATAAAAAATGATGAGTTCATGTCCTTTGTAGGGACATGGATGAAGCTGGAAACCATCTTTCTCAGCAAACTATCGCTAGGACAAAAAGCCAAACACTACATGTTCTCACTCACAGGTGAGAATTGAACAATGAGAACACTTGGACACAGGAAGGGGAACATCGCACACCGGGGCCTGTCATGGGGTGGGGAGCAGGGGGGAGGGATAGCATTAGGAGATATACCTAATGTAAATGACAAGTTAATGGGTGCAGCACACCAACATGGCACATGTATACATATGTAACAAACTTGCACGTTGTGCACTTGTACCCTAGAACTTAAAGTATAATTTTAAAAAAATTATTATTACATAATGACATCTATAGATTTTATCTGAAAGTTAATAAGAACTATTGTTATTCAAGTTATTTAGATAAACCTTTGTTTTTCTTTTTCTTTTTTTTTTTTTTTCTGGAGACAGAGTCTTGTTTTGTTGCCCAGGCTGAAGTGCAGTAGCACAATCTCGGCTCACTGCAGCCTCCGCCTCCTGGCTTCAAGTGATTCTTCTGCCTCAGCCTGCTGAGGAGCTGGGATTACAGGCATGTGCCACCATGCCCTGCTATTTTTTTGTATTTTTAGTAGAGACAAGGTTTCACCATTTTAATCAGGCTGGTCTCAAACTGAGCTCAGGCAATCTGCCCACTTCAGCCTCCCAAAGTGCTAAGATTACAGGTGTGAGTGACCGTGCCCAGTTTAGATAAATTTTTTAGTAGTAATTGGCTTTAAAAATATTTTTATAATTTGGATGAAATTGAGAAATTATTTAAATATAAAAGAATGACAAAATTAGTACCTTTGTGCATTTGTATTGAGCTTGTTAGCTATTAAAATTTGCTTAGAGTAAGCTGTCAATAAGGTATCCTTAGGATTGTTAAGAGATCTAAATGGTCAACAGTGAAGACTGAGTTGGTAAAACCTTGGCTGGTCCTCTACAGTGATGTAAGTGAAACACTTACATCTGGCACAGAATTTAGGATGGTGACAAAAACTCAGGAATCAAGATAATTGGAAAGCATAATTTTTTTAAAAAAATTGAAATTAATGCAAAAATCCATAGTGGAAAAATATCAGTAATTTATATAAAGATAGGATCTAAATCTCTACTTGGCTCACTTGACTATACTCAGCTCACCCTAATTCCTTCCCTGAGTAAACCTAAACTTAACTGTCCTATTTCTTCCAAAGAATCAGTTTAATTTCCAAAGACAATAGCACTTTCTTTTCCTTTCAAGGTAGTAGACTGCAGAATGGAGTGTTGGGAAGAGCGATATTATTGGAATGAAGTTGTGGGTGGGGGTGTTCTATTTACAAATTTCAAACCAATACTTTCCTTTAGCTCAATCTCTTATTCTCATTCTTAACTGTAATCTCCTTCTTATGGTTTGGAGCCTCTCTGTGATTTTTGTCAGGAAAAATATTATATTCGATAAGATAAAGTCTAAGCTGCTTTAACAAAGACACTCCAAAATACAATTCTTTAAATAAACAGAAACTAATTTATTTCTGACATAGAAGATAAGAAGTTTGTGTACAGTTCATGGCTGATAGGTGACTCCACTCCATGACATTCATAGACCCAAGCTGGTAGATTGATTTTGCTATACTTGGCATAAAATTTCTGTCTTGGAGACCAAGGCAACTCCTTTTTCCTGACAAAGTAAAGCAGAAAGAGGATAGAAAACAATAAACTTTCACTTTAAGATTGTAGTTGAGACATTTTACATGAAATTCTGCTTACATTTTATTGATCTGAACTTAGGCACATGGATGTATTTAGCCATAGGAAGGCTAAAATATGTAATTCCTAGCTGAGCCGTATTTCTTGTTAAAAATGAGAGGCTAGATGTCGAAGTGCTTTAATTTTCAAAAAGGAAGAAAAGCAGAAATACCAAGGGAAATTAGCAGTCTCTGCACAGATGATAGTTCCTTCCTCAGGTGTATCAACTTTTGCATATTATTCTAAGTGAGATTTATTTTCTTCTACTCCATCAGTCAACACTCTTTTATCAGATTTTCTTCTTCCAAAAGTTTGTAGAACTATCGTCCAACAATATTATGTCTTTCATTTACTCATTGTTAGTATACCATTAAAAAGTATCCCTTCTTGTCATTATATTGGATTATCATCATAAGGAAGAAAGAAATTTATATTCATAGTCTTTAAGCTTAAATTAGTTTGTAAAATCTATAATTCTTCCTTAAATCTCATTTTATGAAAAAATATTTATTCCATATTATTCAAATAAAATGGCTTTAATATATGTAATAATGAATGAAATTAAAAGTGTGGGATTAATATTCACATTTTTATAAGCTCATTATAGTAAAAGGCAACATTGTTTGCACACTCTTGTGTATGTGCCTCAATGTTTATGAATGGGGAAGAATTGAATGGGATAAGGTCAGAAAATTCAGGAAGGTGATTTTGACCAGATGTTGTGCTATTGCTGAAATTTTTCCATGTCTAAAATTTATTCTATCTGCAGTTAAATCTGGAATCTTAGAATAGAAAAATTGAACTATTTTAAAACTTGAAATTTTGTACATTAGAGATACTGTGAGATAGTTATAAATGGCAAGCATTTTTTACCTGATGAACTAAGATGTGCCATTAGGAAGCTTTCTCAATAAAATTTTCCTAGAGAGCTGGAAATTTCTACTAGCTTATTCATAAAACCTCTCATCATGATTAGAAGTGTTAATAATAGTACTTATAATTAATATGCATAATATGCTAATTTTGTATAAATTAACTCATGATTCTTACCAAATAAATTGCAACATATTTTCATACTATTATTGTTTTAGTTTCGAAGACATAAGAAAACAGGCACAGATATGTTAAATACATTACAGAAGATTATAAGGAAAGTCAGAATAAGGAATAATACCAAGGTCTTCTCACAGAAAATGTCACTGCAAGCAGAGAAATGGTAAATTCACTTGTTAGAACAGAACCTATGTCCCATCCATCCATCCATGTCTCTCTACCTGTAGGATAATGTCTGCAATTGCTTGTTTTATATACATCCCAGCTAGCAAATTTTTCATTTAAGTTGTTGTACTTTTCAGGTCTATAATTTCCAATTGGGTGTTAGTATAGATTTCATTTCTCTCTTATTTTTAGCATATCATTATTTAATTCTTTGAGCACATTTATCATAGCTGTCTTAATTTTTTTTATTTATTTATTTTTAGCTAAAACCAATGTCAAAAACCAATCAGAGTCAGTTTATACTGAATGCCTCTTATTTTTCCTGGATTTTGTTCACACTTTTTAATTAATTATATTCCTACCGATTTTTGAAAACTGTTCATCATAGATAAGATATTTCAATATTTCTAAATTTTGTGTTATTCTTCCAAAGGATTTTGATTTACTTACTTGCATGGACTTAAACTGCATAACTATCTCCTTTACAGTATACAATCATGTGTGTGTATGTGTGTGTGTGTGTGTGGGTGTGTATGTTTGTGGGTGTGTATGTATCCCCATTTAGGGCTGTCCCCTGTATAGTTTTGTTTACTAGTCAGCCAATAATTTGAGCTGGGGCTAAGAGTCTATGATCACATATTTGGGACCTGTAAACCTTCCACTTTCTGCCACCTGAGTTGTACGTGGGTTGCATAATGCATTGCATAGTGCAGCATTAAAGGTGTGGCAAGTTATAAAGTCTAATTTGAATTTGAACTTTCTGTCTAGTGCTTTGAGGTCTCTTCCTTGTACATGTAGTTTAATAGCAAGCCAGGATTTTGGTGGAGAGTTTATTATGTCAGTGCTTCTACCTCTCCCTCAATTCCAGGATCTGTCTGCTAAATTTATGCCTAATCTGCCATTGGTCTAAACTGAAAGCAAAGTTTATACCTATTAACTTGGAATGTATTTATTTATTTATTTATTGTGTGTGTGTATGTGTGTTTGGCGTGTGTGTGTTTCTGCCTGTTTTGAATCCACCACTTGTAGATAGTGGACACCACATGCCTCTGATAAAGCTGATTTTTTGCATCCTGAATTAGAGCTGAATAGAAATAAAGATAGCTGGAGACTTACAACCATTACTACCTGATAGGGAACCAATTTGTAAGAATATGTTTCTCTCAGGTTTTTATCATTGTATTCTGCTTAATGCCTTGAAATGGTTGTTTTTGACATTGTTATCCACTTTTATACATTTCTTCTACAGAAGGAAATTTCTCAACTTTTTCAGGATGCCATTACCAAAAATATGTTACCCAGATTGCATTGATATGAAGTTCAGTAAAGCTAATACAACATGAAAGAAATAAAAAATAAAGGGTCTCAGTATACAAAATCAATGTGCAAAAATCACAAGCATTCCTATATATCAATAACAGACAAATGGAGAGCCAAATCATGAGTGAACTCCCATCCACAATTGCTACAAAGAGAATAAAATACCTGGTAATACAACTTACAAGGGTTGTTAAAGAACTCTTCAAGGAGAAGTACAAATCACTGCTCAAGGAAATCAGAGAGGACACAAACAAATGGAAAAACATTGCATGCTCATAGATAGAAAGAATTAATTTTGTGAAAATGGCCATACTGCCCAAAGTAATTTATAGATTCAATGCTATTCCCATGAAGCTACCACTGACCTTCTTCACAGAATTAGAGAAAAACTACTTTAAATTTCATATGGAACCAAAAAAGAGCCTGCATAGCCAATGCAATCCTAAGCGAAAAGAATAGAGCTGGAGGCATCATACTACCTGACTTCAAACTACACTATAAGGCTACAGTAACCAAAACAGCATGGTGCTGGTGCCAAAACAGATATATAGGCCAATGGAACAGAATGGACGCCTCAGAAATAATGCCACACATTTACAACCATCTGATCTTTGACAAACCTGACAAAAACAAGCAATGGGGAAAGGAGTACCTGTTTAATACATGGTGTTGGGAAAACTGTCTAGCCATATGCAGAAAACTGAAACTGGACCCCTTCCTTACACCTTATACAAAAATGAACTCGACATGAATTAAAGACTTAAACGTAAGACCTAAAACCATAAGAAAACCTAGGCCATACCATTCAGGACATAGGCATGGGCAAAGACTTCATGACTAAAACACCAAAAGCAATGGCAGCAAAAGCCAAAATTGACACAAGCAATCTAATTAAACTAAAGAGCTTCAGCACAGCAAAAGAAACTATCAGCAGAGTGAACAGGCAACCTACAGAAGAGGAGAAAATTTTTGCAATGTATCCCTCTGATGAAGGGCTAATATCCAGAATCTACAAGGAACTTACATTCACAAAAAACAAAACAAAACAAAACAAAAACAGCCCCATCAAAAAGTAGGTGAAGGATATGAACAGACACTTCTCAAAAGAAGACATTTATGTGGCCAACAAACATATGAAAAAAAAGCTCATCATCACTGGTCAGTAGAGAAATGCAAATCAAAACCGTAATGAGACACCATCTCACGCCAGTTAGAATGGCGATCATCAAAAAGTCAGGAAACAACAGATGCTGGAGAGGATGTGGAGAAATAGGAACACCTTTACACTGTTGGTGGGAGTATAAATTAGTTCAACCATTATTGAGGACAATGTGGTGATTCCTCAAGGATCTAGAACCAGAAATACCATTTGACCCAGCAATCCCATTACTGGGTATATACCCAAATATTTATAAATCATTCTCCTATAAAGATACATGCACATTTATGTTTATTGTAGCACTGTTCACAATAGCAAAGACTTGGAACTAACCCAAATGTCCATCAGTGATAGAATGGATAAAGAAAATGTGGCACATATACACCACAGAATACTATGCAGCCATAAAAAAATGAGTCCACGTCCTCTGCAGGGACATGGATGAAGCTGGAAACCATCATTCTCAGTAAACTAACACAGGAACAGAAAACAAAACACTGCATGTTCTTAGTCATAAGTGGGAGTTGAACAATGAGAACACATGGACACATGATGGGTGGAGAACATCACACACTGGGGCCTGTCGGGGAGTAGGGGGCTAGGGGAGAAATAGCATTAGGAGAAATACCTAATGTAGATGACGGATTGATGGGTGCAGCATACCACCATGGCACATGTATACCTATGTAACAAACCTGCACGGTCTGCCCATGTATCCCCAGAACTTAAAGAAAAAAAATACTGGTAGTCAAAATGGGGATTGATCTGAGTAGAAAAGAAATCAAGAAAATTTCCTAGAAAGATGAAAAATTTGTTTATTGTGATAGATACATGAGTTACAAAATTGAATAGCTAAGATTTATACATCATAATACATGCATGCAGAATTTATCCTTTCTTAAAGAGAGATCTCATCTTTGTCCTTAATTCCTAGGAGGTCACCTCTTAAACTCTTGGAATTTTTAAAGTTGTGGACACTTTGGGTCACACCTTATCAGCCAGACCACCAAGGATGGAGGTGAGGTCTAGAGACTGAGTTCAACCATGTGGAAAATTAGTCAATCATGCCTCCATAATGAAGGGGCAATCAAATCTTCAGACTTTTTAGCTTGGGTGAGTTCCCTAGGTTGGCAATAGTTTTTCCTAATGTCGCACATCAAAGCCAGACTGTAATGTCTCCCTGACAACAATGGAAGTTTTGCATTTGGAATCTTTCCAGACTCTTCCCTTAGCTGATTTTAGTCTATCCTTTTGTTGTAATAAACCATAACTTTGAATATAATTGCTCAGTGAGTTCTGTCATTTCTTCTGGCAAATTATTGAGCTTGAGAGTGGTTTTAGAACTTATCGTTACCCTCTCAAAACTTGCAAAATGCCTCTGAAATTTATCTTAAAAAGTAATAAAGAAACATAACAATCTCGTGGAAGGATGAAGTGTGTATGAAACTAGATAATACAAAAATGACAGATTGTTGAAGCTACGTAAGGAAAAGATAAGTGCTATTAGTTTTACTTCTATTTTTGTAATTTTAATATGAAAAAGTTAAAAAGTCTCAGTCTTCATAGTTTTCTCCTTTAGATTAGAAAGATCCAAATAAATACAAGATTTAATTGCACAATAATTTACTTACTCATTCTATGACTTTAAATATAGCAATCAGCATTTTGATAGGTAATGACAATAAAGAAAACACTATAAAATTATCATTAGTTGTTTTTTAACTAATTTATATAAGCTTTATTTTATTATCTAAATCATATTTGATATAAGAGTTTTGGTCAATTCACTTCACGTTCTTACTCTGTAGTATTTCTCTGAGCATCTCTAATCAATAAAATCGATTTAAACTTCTTTGAAGTAGTCAATTTACCATGAATGAACACAAAGGAGTAATCAGATTCTTTAAAATGAAAAATAGAGGTAGAGATAAAAATTCATTCAACAGAAAAATCCTCTGTCCTTGTGAATAATCATGCCCTATATCACTCACCACCTGGAGATGTCAGTGTACAGGCATCAGCAGTTGTCAAGTGACTGATAATGAGTGAATGGTGCCTGAAATCTCTTTCCCATTCATTAGATCAACATAGCATATCAATAATATTGTATTTAGGGACCAAATTCTAACAACAGTAGGGCATTAGGATCACCTGGGGAACATTTTCGGAACAGGAATTCTTCAACTTCATTCCATAGGTATTTGGAGGCAAGAGGTCTAGGATGGGAGCCAGGTACATGTTCTTTATAAACCTTCCCAGGTAATATTGATGTGCATTGCAATTTAAGAACATCTAACTTATGGGTTTAGTCTGCATTTGTTGGCTGAGAATTACCTGTGTTCCCATTTTAAAAAATGTAAAATTAGATCGTTTCTTTCTAATTGATATATCTGTTTTAAAATAGCATGATTTTCAACTTGTTGATTATATTTTGATGTGTATTAATTGACAATATGGTTAAATACCTGTTGTTTTTACCATAATTTTCATTTATTATCTTGCATAAATCATCAGAAATACATTGTAACTTGGAATCAATAAATCATTCTGCTCTGTCACACACACACAAAATCTTTGCATTTCATTTCTAAAAAAACCCTGCAGTTTCAATTATATCTTTCAAATCTTCATGTATACATATGTAACTAACATGTGCGTTGTGCACATGTACCCTAAAACATAAAGTATAACAAAAATAAAATTAAAAAATAAAAATAAATTTAAAAAAAATCTTCCCTTCTACCATTTCTCAAGTTTCACTATCCATAGGACTTGCTAGACTAATTGTCTGTCTCATCTGAAGAGAATAGGAATTATAATCTCTGGATCGAAATGGGAGCTTGTCATACTTCTCAACAGCTATTCAATTCATACTTCAAGGGAAGTTTATCTCTTTGTACCTCAGTCAGAAGATAGTCTGCTTTTTTTTTTTAACTCTGGCATTTTCAAGGAGAAAAATATGCCTTTTGGGATTAGACACTACAGAGTAGAAAGCATTTTGGACAACAAATTCAAAGATCTGCATTCTATCTCTGGTGTTGTCAGCAACTCTGGCAACAGGGAAGTCTTTTTTTATTATTCTTTGTTGTCCTCATATGAGTGATGAGAAATGAATTATTGGCTATATGAATTTAGATATTTGGTCATGCATGCCAAGACCAAAGTCTGCTTTTTCATTAATTACTTTGCATCAGCAGATTTCGTCCTAAATAATTCTGATGTAACTTTTGGTGAAGCTGACCAGTAATTGTTCTTTTATATACAGCAAGTTAGGGTAATCAGATACCTAACCCTTTTATAATCAGAAGGATTTAGACAAGCAAAGGTTCTGAAGTCATGCTCCCAACAGCCATGTACAAAAAAACCAAAGTTATATGATCTTCATTTTATATTCAAAAGAAACAAGATAAATAAAACGCTATCAACCATGACATATTTTAGGGAGGATATTAGGTTTGTTATTAATAATTATTTTCAAGTCCCCTTGGATAGCATGTAAGTCCCCAAGGACTGAATGTAGAAAAAAATATTTCACAATAGAAAAAACTAGAAGGCAAAGATATCGGGGGTGGTGGGGGTAAGGTGTAAGATGTGGAATATGAAGCCAGTAATATGGTAGAAGATGATTTAATTTTCATTATTTAAAAATCTTCAGAAAATTTAATAAGAGTAAATTTAGTGAGAGGATATATTTGTGAAACCCAGAAAAGGAGCTAACTTCCCAAGCAGAATGATAGTAAAATCAAGAGAATCCCATGTAGATCCAGAAGCAGAGAGAGAATGTGAGTAAAATTGAAAAAATTATGTAAAACAATAAAAAGTGTGAGCAGAATTTTATATTCTCTTGGATAATGGAATTGAGATTTAGGCCTAGTTTAAGCAGATCTTTAAGAGACAAGATTAATGATATGTAGATTATGCAAAATAAACACTTTAAGGGTCTCTATTCTCAGGTTTCATTATCATGACCCCTCAGAATTCAAATTATTAGTCATCACCACCTGTGAAAAAGGTGGAATCTTGAGTCATAGGATCTATTCCATCCAGAGATTTGTACAGATATTTACTTATTACTATCTTTTAAGCCCCTCTGATCTGTGAACTTGTCAGATTCTGTTACCCTACCCTCATCTAACCTTCTTCCTTCCATCTTTATGTAACCAATATATGCAGAAACTTTGAGAAATCAACTGATGATGCAGTAGGGAGTGGATTGAGTGGTGACTTCACACAATGGCCTATTATTGTGATGGCTGATATAAATGTATCTGTCTCAAATATTTTTAATCTATAATTTTTAATTTGTAACCTGTATTTGTTTCTTCTTGTTTAATCACACTGGCTAACATCTTCAACTAAATGTTAAATATTATGACAAAAGTCTATGTCTTTATCTTTTTCTTGACTTTATCAGAAAAGTCTCTGTTATTTCCCCAAGTGACATGCTAGAAACTGCACTAAGTTATGTAAATTTTATTATATTAAAGGAAGATCTATAAATTCCTCTTCTATACATGCTTTAACATAAAGGATAATTGAATTTTGTCAGATTCTATTTCTGATATTCATGAAGATAATCATATGATTTAGTACCCCTAAATAGTTTTTCAAATTCCAAATAATTTTAATTGAAGCACTAAGATTATTATGAAACTTGACCAATAATATAAATTTATATAAACAAAAATATCTTATGAAAAGGGTCATATAGATGCTACAAAAGAATAATAATGAACTGAAACAAATAGGCTCTAGATGATGTTGAAATAGATTAAAAGACAGTATAATTAAAGAGATTTCTTAATGAAAGGACTAGGCAAGTCAATGGAATTGAACATGAAAGTACAAAACCAAATTTGAGTCAATTTTTGAATTTGCTATATGATAAAGTTAGTATTTTATCAGTTAATGAAAGATAAATTTTAAAAAATGATGGGGCAACTGGTAAATGTTTAGAAGAGTATAATTATTTGGTAATGTACATTTAATAATACTCATACTAATTGTTAATATTTTATACTAATTAATATTTTGCATGCTAATTCTTTGAAAATAATGTGATTTTTTTTCAGTAAATTCAGGGAACGGTGGGGGAAAAATCTAGAAAGATAATTAGAGACTAAAAAAGTGCTTCCAGTTTTAGAGCATTAAAGAGTAAAGTAAGGAAAGTTAACAAAATCTGACATGATATTTAAATTAACACTAAAGTATACAGCTACCTCTGAAAGCTGCCTAGGTGATTAGATTCTGCTCCTTATGAGATTAATACAGTAATAGAGAAAAGTATTAGGTTGAGAATAAAGGAGGAAATGAAATGGAGGCAGAACTAAGGTGAATTTTGAAAAAATATGGTGCAGTAAAATATAAATGAAGTGATGAAGAAATGCAAGTGGAATCTAAACAAATAGCTGAAATGAACAGGAAATCTTTAGGACTTATTGGTTAAGGCAGATATATTTTATTGCACCATAATTTAGCTGAAGTCAATGTAAATAAGGTAAATGTTCCTGTACTCATATCGCTTCTCTTGTTCTGCTTGGGAATTAGGACAGACAGAAAGAGAGCCATCTGGGTTTGTGTCACAGTTGTGCCTTTGCTATGGAACAAACTGCTCTAGAAACCTATTTGTTTAAAGTAAGAACTGTTTATTTAACTCATGATTCTGTGTATTAGCAATTTGGAATGGGCTCGGCTGAACAGTTCTTTTTGTCTAAGATGCTATCGTTTATATTTCTGTGTCAGCTGCCAGTCTGTTAGGTTCGCATTCGTAAAACATTTTTGAGAGAATATGAGGAGCAGTGTCTATCAGTCTGTCAAGCTGTTATCAATTATCTCCTCTTCTTCCTCCTCATTCAGTTTTCTTCCTATAGAGACTTCATTTTGTTTTGCTTTGTCTTCATTGGTTAATTTTAATTTTCATATTGTCTTAGATAACTTAGGCTGCTATAAAAAAGGCCATAGACTTGGTGGCTTAGACAACAAACAATTATTTCTTACAGTTCTGAAGGCTGGTAAATCCAAGGCACTGGCTGATTTGGTTTCTGTAGAGGGCCTTCTTCCTGGTTTGTACAGGGATACTTTCTTGTGTATCATCACATATTAAAGAGAAAGTATGAAAACTCTCTCATGTCTCTTTGTATAAGGGCACTAATCCCAGCACGAGGACTGCACTTAAAGCCCTAATTACTTCCCAAAGGCTTCATCTCCAAATACCATCACATTGGGAATTACGATTTCAAAATAAGTTTTCGGGGGCACATTCTGTCCATAGTGTGTGTGTTTACTTATTTACTGGGAAGGAGAGTGTGCTTGTTCAGTGTGTCACACTTGAAATTAATTTAAGAAATAAAATTTGATTGGTTTCTGTAGTATCTCAGACATCTCTTTGATAATACTACCTTTTAATCAGAGTAACATGAAATAAATATAGCTTTAAAAAGACATTTAGCTTCTGATACTGAACTTCATTCATTTTTCTTAAATGTTTAAGTAATTTCAATGTTTGCTTTTTATACAGGGAATACATGTACAGATTTGCTACATGATATTATGTGATGCTGAGGTATACTCTCTAGTAGTCCACAGTGTCTATTGTTCCCACATTTATGTTTTTGTGTGCTCACTGTATAGCTTCCCCTTGTAAGTGAAAACGTGGTATTTTGTTTTCTGTTCTGGCATTAATTTGCTTAGGATTGTGGCCTCTAGCTCCATCAATATTGTTTTAAAGGACATGATTTTACATATTTTTGTGGCTGCATAGTATTCCATGGTGTACTACATTTTCTTTTTCTAATCCACCATCCAAGGACGTCTAGGTTGATTCTTTGTCTTTGCTATTGTGAATACTGCAGCGATGAACATACGAGCATATGTATCCTTTGGTAGAATGATTTATTGTCTTTTAGATATATACTCAGTAATGGGATTGCTGGGTCAAATGGTAGGTCTGTTGTAAGTTGTTTAAGAAATCTCCAACTGCTTTCCACAGTGGCTGGACTAATTTACATTCCCATCAACCGTGCGTAAGTGTTCCTTTTTCTCTGCAGACTCACCAGGACCTATTGTTTTTTGACTTTTTTAATAATGGCCATTAACTGATGTGAGATGATATTTCAGTGCAGTTTAGATTTGCATTTCTCAGATGACTAATGATACTGAGCATTTTTTCGTGTGTTTTTTGGCCACTTGTATGTCTTCTTCTATGTCAAATGCCTGTTCATGTTCTTTTTCTTAATGGGGTTATTTGTTTTTATCTTGCTGAATTGTTTAAACTTCCTATAAATTCTAAATTCTAGATCTTTGTCAGATGCATTCTTTGATTCTATAGGTTGCCTATTTAAACTGTTGATAGTTTCATTTGCTGTGCAGAGGCTCTTTAGTTAGGTCCTATTTGTCTATTTTTGTTTTTGTTGCAATTGCTTTTGGGGACTTAGCCAAAATTATTTGGCAAGACTGATATTGAGAAGAGTTATTTCCTAGGTTGTTTTCTAGGATTTGTATAGTTTGAGTTCTTACATTTAAATGTTTAATCCATTTTTAGTTAAGTTTTGTATATGGTGAAATTTAGAGATCCAGCCTCAGTCTTTTACATATGGCTACCCATTTATCCCAGCACAATTTATTGAATAGAGAGTCCTTTCCTCATTGCTTGTTTTTGTCAGCCTTGTTGAAAGTCAGATGATTTTAGATGTGCAGCTTTATTTCTGAGTTTATTATTCTGTTTCATTGGTCTATATATCTGTTTTGTATCAGCAACAATCTGTTTTGGTCACCGTGGCTTTATAGCATAGTTTGCGGTTGGGTAGTGTGATGCCTGCAGCTTTGTTCTTTTGGCTTACGATTGTTGTAGCTAGTTGAGCTCGTTTTTGGTTCCATACATATTTTAGAATACCTCTGTATAGAATGATATTGGTAGTTTTGTAGGAATAGCATTGAATTTATAAATTGTTTTGGGCAGTATGGCCACTTTAACAATATTGATTTTTCCAATCCATATGCATGAAGTGATCTTCCCATGTATTTGTGATGTCAAACTGAATTTCTTGAGCTGAAAATTTCACTACAATAACTGCATAATACAACTAGAATTATTAACTGCAGAACAGAGTAAGCTGAGGAAAGAATCTCAGATCTCAAAAATCAGTTATCCAAATTAACTGAGTCAGATAAAAATAAAGAAAAAAAGAATTAAGAAAAATGAGCAAGGCCAGGTGTGGTGGCTCACACCTGTAATTCCAGTACTTTGGGAGGCTGAGGCAGGCAGAACATGAGGTCAGGAGTTTGAGACCAGCCAGCCCAACATGGTGAGACCCCGTCTCTATTAAAAATACAAAAATTAGCCGGGTGCAGTGGTGGGTGCCTGTAATCTCAGCTACTCAGGAGGCTGAGGCAGGGGAATTGCTTGAACCCAGGAGGCAGAGGTTGCAGTGAGCCAAGATTGTGCCACTGCACTCCAGCCTGGGTAACAGAGCAAGACTCTGTCTCAGAAAAAAAAAAAAAAAAGAAAGAAAGAAAAAAAGAAAAAGAAAAATTAACAAAACCTCTGACAAATATGGGATCATGTAAAGAGAGCAAATATATGACTCGTTGGCATTCTTGAGAAAGAAGGAGAGAAAATAGGCAACCTAGTAAATATAGCTGAGACTACAATCTATAAAAATTTCCTTAATCTCACTAGAGAGGTCAATGTCCCAATTCAAGAAGCACAGAGAATCCCAGGCAGTTACTATACAAGATGATCATCCCCAAGGCACATAGTTATTCACCAAGGGCAGCGCAAAAATAAAATAAAAAGAAATTTAAAAAGTCATAAATGCAGCTAGAGAGAAAGGGCAAGTTACCCACAGAGGGAACTGCATCTGGGCAGCAGCAGATTTCTCAGCAGAAACCTTACAAGCCAGAAGAGATTGGGGCATATTTGCAGCATTCTTAAATAAAAGAAATTCAAACTAAGAATATTATATCCAGCCAAACTCAGCTTCATAAGTGATAGAGAAATCCTTCTCTGACAAGCAAATGCTGAAAGGAATACATTTCAACTGGACAAGACTTATATGAAGTCTTTTTAAGGGAGTGCTAAACACATATTTGAAAGAGTAACACGTACTGCCACAAAGCACACTTAAACACATAGTCCACAGCCACTATAAGCAACTACACAATCAAGTCTACATAACGACCAGCTAGCAACATGATGACAGGATCAAAATCACACATAGCAATACTAAGCTAGAATGTAAACAGACTAAACACCCCACTTAGAAGACACAGAGTGGCAGCATCGTTAAAGTACAAGACCCAATCATCTCTCTTCTTCAAGGGACCTATCTTAGATGTTACTACACCCACATGACTTAAAGTAAAAGGGTGTCATAAGATCTACCATGCAAATGGAAAACAAAGAAGAGCAGGAGTCACTCTTCTTACATCAAATAAAACAGGCTTTACATCAATAAGAATTAAAAGGATAATAAAGGGCTTTATACAATAATAAAAGGTACAATGCAAAATGAAGATTTAATAATCCTAAATATAGACGCACCCAAGGATGGAGCACCCAGATTCATAAAACAAGTTCTTGCTACGAAATGACTTTGACAATCACACAATAACAGTAAGAGATTTCAACACCCCACTAACGTGTTAGACAGATCATCGAGGCAGAAAAGGAACAAAGAAATTCTGGACTTAAGCTTGACACTTGACCAATTGGGCCTAATAGACACCTACAGAACACTCGACCTAACAACCACAGAATATAATCCTTCTCATGTATGCATGGAACATATTGTATAATTGACCACACACTCAGTCATCAAGCAAGCCTCAATAAATTAAAAAAAAATTGAAATCATACCAAGTATACTCTTGGAACACAACACAGTAAAAATAGAAATCAATAACAAGAAGATATCTCAAAAGTACACAAATACATGAAAATTAAACAACTTAATTCTGAATAACTCCTGTATAAAAAGGCATAAATCAAGAAATTATTTGAAATTAATGAAAATAAGGACACAGCATACCAAAATCTCCAAGATTCTGCCAAAGGAGTGTTTGGAGCAAAGTTTTAGTACTAAAAAACTTCATTAAGAAGTTAGAAAGATCTCAAATTAACAATCAGATTTTGTATCTAAAGAGACTAGAAAATAAAATCAACCTTAAAGTTAGCCAAAGAAAAGAAATAACTGAAATTTGAGAACTTAATGAAATTGAGATACAAAAATTCATACAAAAAATCAGTGAAACCAAGAGCTGGTTTTTTGAAGAAATAAATAAGACTGATAGACTCCCGCTGGATTAACAAAGAAAAATAAAGCAAATTTCCAAGCAAGTACAATAAGAAATGACAAATATGATATTATAACCAATCCCACAGAAATAGAAAAGACCCTTACAGACTACTATGCACAACTCTGTATACACAAATCAAGAGGAAATCGATAAATTCCTGGAAGCAGTTTCCCAAGATTGAATCAGGAAGATACTGAAACACTGAATAGACCAATATCAACTTCTGAAATTGAATTACTAATAAGCAATCTACCAACAAAAAGAAGTCTTGGACCAGATGGACTCGCAGCTAAATTCTACCAGATGTAAAAAGAAGAACTGGTACCAATCCTAAAGACCTATTCCAAAAAAAAAAAAATCAAGGAGGAGAAGCTCCTCCCTATATCATTCTATGAAGCCAGCATCAGCCTAATACCAAAATCTGGCAGAGACACAATGAGAAAAGAAAATTTCAGACCACTCTTCGTCATGAACATAGACACAAAAATTCTCAAGAAAATACTAGCAAATTGAATTCAGCAGCACATTAAAAAGTTAATACTGCATGATCAAAAAGGCTTTATCCCTTGGATGCAAGGCACTTCAAAATGCACCAATCAATACTTTTGATTTATCACATAAACAGAATCAAAAGCATACAAACATCTCAATAGACATTGAGAAAGCTTCCAATAAAATCAAACATCCTTTCAGGATAAAAGTCCTCAACAGACCAGACATCAAAGGAACATACTTCAAAATGATAAGAACCATCTATGACAAACCCACAGCCAACATTATACTGAGTTGGCCACAAACACTGTATAAGTGTTTCCTTTTCTCTGCAGCCTCACTAGCATTCATTGTTTTTTGACATTTTAATAATAGCCATTCTGAATGATATGAGATGGTATCTTCTTCTGGCTTTGATTTGCATTTTCCTAATGATTAGGGATGTTCAGTATTTTTTCCTATGCTTGTTGGCTGCATGTATGTCTTCTTTTGAGAAGTGTCTGTCCATGTCCTTTGCTCACTTTTTTTATGGGGTTGTTAGTTTTTGATCATTAATTTGTTTTTGTTTTATAGATTCCGGATCTTAGACCTTTGTCAGATGCATGGGTTGCAAATATTCTCTCCCATTCTGTGGGTTCTCTGTATGCCCTTGATAGTTTCTTTTGCTGTGCAGAAGGTCTTCAGTTTAATTAGGTCTTATTTGATAATGTTTGGTTTTGTTGCAATTGCTTTTGGCACCTTTATCATGAAATCTTTGATCCATCCTATGTCCATAATGATTTCCCCTAGGTTATTTTTCAGGGATTTTTATACTTTTAGGTTTGAACTTTAGGTCTTTAATCCATCTTGAGTTGAGTTTTATAGATGGTGTAAGGAAGGGGTCTTCTGCATATAGATAACCAGTTATCAAAGCACCATTTATTGAACAGGAGATTATTTCCTCATTGCTTGCTTTTGTTGACTTTGTCAAAGATAAGATGGTTGATGGTTGATGGTGCAGCATTATTTCAACGTTCTCTATTCCGTTGCATTGTTCTATGTGTCTATTTTTGTACTAGCACCATGCTGTTCTCATTACTGTAGCTTTGTAGTGGCATTTGAAGTCATATAAGATGATGCCTCCAGCTTTGTTTTCTTTGCTTAGGATTGCTTTGGCTTGCCAGGCTCTTTTTTTTTTTTTTTTTTTTTTTTGCTGTTCCATGTGAATTCTAAGACAGCTTTTTTTGTTTGTTTGTTTTCTGATTCTGTGAAGAATTTCCTTTACAGTTTAATAGGAATAGCATTGAATCTGTAAATTGCTTTGGGCAGTATGGCCATTTTAACAATATTGAATTTTCCTATCCATAGCATGTAATATTTTTCCATTTCTATGTTATCTCTGATTTTTTTTTCTTTTTTTAAAAATTTCAGTAGGTTTTGGAGGAACAGGTGGTGTTTGGTTATATGAATTAGTTCTTTAGTGATGATTTCTGAGATTTTGGTGCACTCATCACCTGAGTAGTATACATGGTACCCAATGTCTAGTCTTTTATCCCTCAGCCCCCTCTCTTCCACATGTGGCTTGCCAATTATACTAGCACCATTCGTTGAATGGGGTGTCCTTTCCTCAGTTTATGCTTTTGCTTACTTTGTGAAAGATCAGTTGGCTGTAAGTATTTGGCTTTATTTCTGGTTCTCTATTCTGTTGCACTGGTCTATATGCCTGTATTTATACTGGTACCATGCTGTTTGGGTGACTACAGCCTTATAGTATAGTTTGAAGTCAGGTAATGAAATGCCTCCAGATTTGTTCTTTTTGTTTAGTCTTGCTTTGGCTATGTGGACTCTTTTTTGGTTCCATATGAATTTTAGGATTGCTTTTTTCCAATTCTGTAAAGAATAATGGTGGTATTCTGATGGAATTGCATTGAATCTGTAGATTGTTTTGGCAGTACGATCATTTTCACAATATCGATTCTACCCTTTCATGACCAGGGGATGTGTTTCCATTTGTTTGTGTCATCTATGATTTCATTTAGCAATGTTTTATAGTTTTTCTTGTAGAGACCTTTCACCTTCTCGAATAAGTATATCCCTAACTTTGTTTGATTTATCTATTTATTTATTTATTTATTCTTTTATTAATTTTTCAGCTATCATAAAGCAGTTGAGTTCTTGATTCTCTGCTTGGTCACTGTTGGCATACAGCATAGCTAATGATTTGTGTACATTAATATTGTATCCTGAAACTTTGCTGAATTCATATACCAGTTAGAAGCCTTTTGGATGAGTCATTAGGGTTTTCTAGGTATACAGTCATGTCCTCAGCAAACAGTAACAGTTTAACTTCCTCTTTACTGACTTGGATGACATTTATTTCTTTTTCTTGTCTGATTGCTTTGGCTAGGACTACCAGTATTATGTCAAATAGAAGTGGTGAAAGTGGGCATCCTTGTCTTGTTCCAGTTCTCAGGGGAAATGCTTTCAACTTTCCCCACACTTAGTATTATGTTGGCTGTGGGTTTGTCATATATGGCTTTTATTACATTGAGGTATGTCCCTTGTACGCCAATTTGGCTGAGGATTTTAATCATGAAAAGATGTGAATTTTGTCAATTTTTTTCTGCATCTATTGAGATGATCATGTGATTTTTGTTTTTAATTCTGTTTATTTGGTGTATAATGTACATTGATTTGTGGATGCTAAACCATCTCTGCATCCCTGGTGGATCACCTTTCTGATATGCTGTTGTATTCAGTTAGCTAGTATTTTGTTGATGATTTCTCCAGTATGTTCACCAGTGATATTGGTCTGTAGTTTTTGTTGTTGTTGTTGTTATGCCCTTTCCTGGTTTTGGTATTATGGTGATTCTGGTTTCATAGAATGATTTAGGGAGGATTTCCTCTTTCTCTATATTTTGGAATAGTGTAAATAGAATTGGAAACAATTCTTATTTGAACATCTGATAGAATCCATATGGTTCTGGACTTTTTTTTTTGTAACTTTTTAATTACCGTTATAATCTCACTGCTTGCTATTGTTCTGTTCTGAGTTTCCGCTTCTTTCTGGTTTAATCTAGGAGGGTTGTATATTCCCAGAAATTTATCCATATCTCTAGGTTTTCTACTTTATGTGTGTAAAGTTTTCATAGTAGCTTTGAAAGATCTTTTGTATTTCTGTGATAGCAGTTGTGATATCTCCTGTTTTATTTCTAATTGAGCTTATTTGGATCTTCCCTCCTCTTTTCTTGGTTAATCTTGCTAATGGTCCATCAATTTTATTTATCTTTTCAAAGAACCGGATTTTTTGTTTGTTTGTTTCAAATTCATTTATTTCTGCTCTGATTTTGGTTATTTCTTTCCTTCTGCTGGGTCTGGGTTTGTTCTTGTTTCTCTAGCTTCTTCAGGTGTGCCCTTAGATTGTCTATTTGTGCTCTTTCCGACTTTCTGATGTAGGCATTTAATGGTATGAACTTTCTTCTTAACATGACCTTTGCTGTATCCCAGAGATTTTGATAGATTGTGCCACTATTATTGTTCAGTTCAAAGATTTTTTTTTAATTTCCATCTTCATTTTATTGTTGATCCAGTGATCATTTAGGAGCACATTATTTAATTTCCATGTATTTTCATGGTTTGGAGCGTTCACCTTGGAGTTGATTTCCAATTGTATTCCACTGCAGTCTGAGAAAGTATTTGTTATAATTTTGATTTCCTTAAATTTGTTGAGACTTGTTTTGTGGCCTATCATATGGTCTATCTTCAAGAATGTTCCATATGCTGATGAATAGAATGTATATTCATCCCTTGTTGGGTAGAACGTTCTGTAAATATCCATTAAGTCCATTTGTTCTAGGATATAGATTAAGTCCAATGTTTCTTTGTTGACTTTCTGTCTTGATTAGCTGTCTAGTGCTGTCAGTGGAGTATTAAAGTCCTCCAATATTGTATTGCTGTCTATCTCATTTCTTAGGTCTGTAGTAATTGTTTTATAAATTTGGGAGCTTTAGTGTTTGGTACCAATATATTTACTATTGTAATATTTTCCTGTTGGACTAGTCCTTTTATCATTATATAATGTTTCACTTTGTCTTTTTAACTATTGTTTCTTTAAAGTTTGATTTGTCTGATATAAGAACAGCTACAATGCTCACTTTTGGTGTCCATTTGCATGGATTATCTTTTCCCACCCCTTCACCTTAAGTTTATGTGAGTCCTTATGTAAGGTGAGTCTCAGGAAGACAGCAGATACTTGGTTAGTAAATTCCATTTTTCCTCTCTGTATATTTTAAGTGGAGCATTTAGGCCATTTACATTAAATGTTGGTATTGAGATGTGAAGTACTCTTATATTCATCATGCTATTTGTTTCCTGAATACCTTTTTTTTTCCATTGTGTTGTTGTTTTATAGGTCCTATGAAATTTGTGCTTTAAGGAGATCCTATTTTGGTGTATTTTGATAATTTGTTTTAAGATTTAGAGCTCCTTTTAGCAGTTCTTGTAGTGCTGGCTTGGTAGTGGTGAATTCTCTCAGCATTTGTTTGTCTGGAAAAAACTTTATATTTCCTTCATTTATGAAGCTTAGTTTCACTGGACACAATACTTGACTGATAGATGTTTTGTTTAAAGAGGCTAAAAATAGGACCCCAATTCTTTCTAGCTTGTGGGATTTCTGCTGAGGAATCTGCTGTTAAACTAATAAGTTTTCCTTTATAGTTTACCTAATGCTTTTGCCTCACAGCTCTTAAGATTCTTTCCTTCGTCTTGTCTTTAGATAAGCTGATGACTATTTGCCTAGGTGACGATCTTAAGATTCTTTCATTCATCTTGTCTTTAGATAACCTGATGACTATGCACCCAGGTGATGAATTTCCCAGGTATTCTTTGAGCTTCCTGTATTTGGATATCTGGATATCTAACAAGGCCTGGGAAGTTTTCCTTGATTTTTCCCTCAAATATGTTTTCCAAACTTTTTCCTCAGGAACTCCAGTTATTCTTAGGTTTGGTCATTTAATATAATCCCGAACTTCTTAGAGGCTTTGTTCATTTTTTAAAAACTATTTTTTCTTTCTCTTTGTCAGATTCGGTTAATTTGAAAGTTGTGTCTTCGAGCTCTGAAGTTCTTTCTTCTGCTTGTTTGATTCTATTGCCAAGACTTTCCAGTGCATTTTGCAATTTTCTAAGTGTGTCCTTCATTTCCAGAAGTTGTGGTTGTTTTTTCTTTATGCTATTTATTTCACTGAAGAATTTTCCTTTCATATCCTGCATTATTATTATTTTTTATTTCTTTAAGTTGGACTTCACCTTTCTCTGGTGCATCCTTGATTGGCTTAATAGTCAAACTTCTGAATTCTTTTTCTGGTAATTCAGAGATTTCATCTTGGTTTGGATCCATTGCTGGAGAGCTAGTGTGATCTTTTGGGGGTGTTAAAGAAGCTCGTTTTGCCATATTATGAGGATTGTTTTTCTGGTTCCTTCTCATTTATGTAGACTATGTCAGAGGGAAGACGTTGGGCTCAAGGGCTGCTGTTGAGATTCTATTGTCCCATAGGGTGCTCCCCTGATGTTGTGGTCACCCCTATCCCCTAAAGATGGGGCTTTCTAAGAGCCAAACTGCAGTTATTGGTATTCCTCTTCTGGGTCTAGCCACCCAGTGGAGCTACCAGGCTCTGGGCTGATACTGGGGAATGTCTGCAAAGAGTCCTGTGATGTGATTAATCTTCAGTTTTCTCAGCTGTAGATACCTGTGTCTGCTCTGGTAGAGGTAGCAGAGTCAAGTGGTCTCTGTGAGGGTCCCTGGTTGTATTTTTAAGTGTGCTTTTTTTTTTATTGTTGTTGTTTGGCCTCTAACCGAAAGGTGGTGCTTTCAAGAGTGCCTCCAGTCAGGAGGTGGTGCTTTCAGGCAGTCGGCAGGGCCTTTAGGCACCCAAGATATATGTCTTTCATCTTCAGCTACCAGGGCAGGTAGAGAAAGATCATCAGGTGGAAACAGGGTTAGATGTGTCTGAGCTCAGATTCTCCTTGGGTGAGGCATTCTGTGGCTGCTGTGATGGATGGGTGTGTGATTTTCAGGCCAATGGACTTATGTTCCCAGGGGGATTATGGCTGCCTCTGCTGCATCACACAGATGGCCAGGAAAGCAGGGGCAAGCTGGCAGCCACAGGCCTTACCCAGCTCCCATGCAGCCCACAGCCCGAAAGGCTAGTCTCACTCCAACTGTGTCCTTCCAACAGCACCAAGTTAATTTTCTTGCAGCTGGTGAGCAGAGCTGAGGACTTGCCCAAGGGTACAAGCCTCCCAGCTGAGAAAGCAAGCAGACTCACAGTTCCTGGCTGTCACATGGAGCCTGCAGGGGCAATACACCTCCTTCAAAGGTTCTGTGGATTCTCTAGACTTTCTTGATATGTTCCTGCAGTAGTTCTTCAAGCAAAAGTTCACTGTGTGAGTCTCCATACACTACTGTCTTTGTTCGACTGGAAGCTGCAAGTTAGTCCTCCCCCCATCTGCTATTTTCCCTCCTATATTTCATCTCTGATTTCTTTGAGCAGTGCTTTGTAATTCTTGTAGAGATTGTTAACCTATCTGGTTAGCAGTATTCCTAGGTATTTTATTCTTTTTGTGGCTATTGTGAATTGGTGTTCTTGATTTGCGCTCAGCAAAAATGATGTTGGGTATAGAAATGCTACTGATTACTGATTTTTGTACATTGATCTTCTATCCTAAAACTTTGCTGAAGTTGCTTATCAATTTTAGGTGATTTTGGACAGAGAGTGTGGGTTTTTTAGGTACAGAATAATATCATCTGCAAACAGGGATAGTTTGGCTTCCTCTTTTCCTATTTGTATGCCCTTTATTTCTTTCTCTTGCCTGCTTGCTCTGGCCAGGACTTCCAGTACTATGTTGAATAGAAATGGTGGAGAGAGCATCTTTGTCTTGTGCCAGTTTTCAAGGGGAATGCTCAGGTTTTGCCCCTTCAGTATGATGTTGGCTGTGTAATCTTTATAGATAGCTTTTATTATTTTGAGGTATGTTCCTTTAATACCCAGTTTGTTGAGGGTTTTTAACACAAAGTTGTGTTTAATTTTATCAAAAGCCTTTATTCCTTCTATTGAGATAATCATGTGCTTTTTTACTTTAATTATGTTTATTTGTGGAATCACATTTATTTATTTCCACATGTTGAACCAACCTTATATCCCAGGGATAAAGCCTACTTAATCATGATGGATTAGCTTTTTGATGTACTGCTGGATTCAATGTGCTAGTATTTTGTTGAGAATTTTTACATCTATATTCATCAAAGATATTGGCCAGAAGGTTGGGGGGTGTGTGCGTGTGTGTGCGCGTGCGCCAGGTTTTGGTATGAGGATGCTGCTGGCTTGATGGAATGAGTTAAGGAGGAGTTTCTCCTCAATTTTTTGGAATAGTTTCTGTAGAAATGATACTGGTTCTTCTTCAAACATCTGGTAGAATTCAGGAGTGAAGTCATCTGGTCCTGGGCATTTTCTGGTTGGTAAGCCTTTTATAACTGACTTAATTTTGGAACTCATTAATGGTCTGTTCAGTGATTCAGTCTGTTCCTGGTTCAATCTTGGGAGGTTGTATGTTTCCAGATATTTATCAATATCTTATACGTTTTCTAGCGTAAGTAAATAGAGGTGTTGTAGTAGCCTCTGATGATTTTTGTATCTCTGTGGCATCAGTGTTAATGTCCTCTGTCATTTTGTATTGTGTTTATTTTGATCTTTTTTTCTTTGTTATTCTAGCTAGTGGTATATCTGTCTTACTTATTTTTTTCAAGAAAGTAACTCATGAACTCAAGTTTTGTATGGATTTTTGTGTCTCAACATCCTTTAGTTTAGCTCTAATTTTGGTTATTTATTGTCTCCTGCTAGCTCTGGGATTGGTTTGCTCTTTCTTCTCTAATTCCTGTAGGGTATGATGTTAGGTTGTTATTTTGAGATCTTTGTAGCTTTTTGATGTGGACACTTAGTGCTATAAACTTCCATCTCAACAATGCTTTAGCTGTGTCCCAGAGTTTCTCATATGTTGTATCTTCATTTTTATTAGTTTCAAATAACTTCTTGATTTCTGCCTTAATCTCATTGTTCACCCAAAAGTCATTCAGGAGCAGGTTGTTTAATTTTCATGTAATTCTGTGGTTTGAACAATCTTAGCATTGACTTATATTTTCATTGTATTGTGGTCTGAGAGTGTGTTTGCTAGTATTTCTTTTTTTTTGCATTTAATGAGGTTTTCTTTGTTGTTGTTGTTGTTTTAATGGCCAATTGTGTGGTCAATTTAGAGTATGTGCCATGTGCTGATGAAAGGACTGTATAATTTTCATTTTTCAGTAGGCAATTCTGTATATATCTATCAGGTATATTTGATCCAGTGCTGAGTTCAGGTCCTGAATATCTTAGTTTTCTGCCTTGATGATCTGTCTGATACTTTCAGTGGGGTACTGAAGCCCCCCTTTATTTTTGTATGGTAATAGAAGTTTCTTTGTTGGTCTCTAAGGACTTGCTTTATGAATCTGGGTGCTCCTGTGTTGGGGGGCATATATTTAGCATAGTTAGGTCTTCTTCTTGTTGAATTGAACTGTTTAGCATTATGCAATGCCCTTCTTTATCTTTTTAAATCTTTCTTGGTTTAAAGTCTGTTTTGTCTGAAAGAGGATTATTATCCCCTTCTTTCTTCTGTTTTCCATTTTACTGGTAGATTTTTTCCAACCTTTTACTTTGAGCCTATGGGCATTATTGCATTTGAGATGCGTATCTTAAAGACAGTACACAGTTGGATCTTGCTTCTTTATCCAACTTGCTACTCTGTGTCCTTTAATTGGAACAATTAGCTTGTTCACATTCAAGGCTAATATTAATATGTGTGGATTTGATCATTCTGTCATCATGTTGTTAGCTGTTTATTGTATGCACATGTTTGTATCATTGCTTAATAGTGTCAATGGTCTATGTACATCAGTATTTTTGTAATGGCTGGTAATGTTCTTCTATTTTCATATACAGCATTCCCTTCAGGACCTGTTGAAAGGCAAGTCCAGTGGTAATGAATTCCCTTAGCATTTATTTGCCTGAAATGGATCTTATTTCTCCTTAGCTTATGAAGCTTAATTTGGCTGGATATGAAATGTTGGAGTTTGCTTTATTTAAGAATGCTGAATATATGCCCCCAGTCTCTTCTGACTTGTAGCATTTCTGCTGAGTGGTCTTCTTTTAGCCTAATGGGGATCCCTTGTATGTATCATGCTTCTTCTCTCTAGCTGCCTTGAACATTTTTTCTTTCATTTTGACCTTGGAGAATCTGATTACTATGTGTCTCGGGTATAGTTTTCTTATGTACTATCTTCTGGGGGTTCTCTGCATTTCCTGAATTTGAATGTCAGCCTCTTTAATGATGATAGGGCTATTTTCATGGGTGATATTCTCAAATATGTTTTTCAAGTTGCTTGCTTTCTCTCATTCTCTTCAGGGATGCCAACGAGTCATATATTTTATCTCTTTACATAATCCTATATTTCTCAGAGTTTTGTTCATTCTTCTTTAATTTTTTTTCTTAATTTTTGTCTGAGTTATTTCAGAGAACTGGTTTTTTAACTCCAAATTGTTTTCTCAGACTGGACAATTCTGCTTTTAATACTTGCAATTGCATTGTGAAATTCTTGAAGTGAGTTTTGCAGCTGTATCAGATCAGTTTGATTCTTTCTTATAATGACCATTTCATCTTTTATTTTCTGCATCATTTTATTGTATTCCTTAGAATTTTTGTGTTAGGTTTCATCTTTCTCTAGGATCTTGATTATCTTTTTTTCTATCCATACTCTTAATTCTATGTCTGTTATTTCAGACATTTCAGCCTGGCTAAGAACCATTACTGGGGAAGTACTATGGGCATTTGGAGGTAAGAATACACTCTGGTTTTTTGAGTTGCCAGAGTTTCTTGTTCTGGTTCTTTCTCGACTATGTGGGCTGATGTTTCTTTAATCTTTAAAATTGCTGTTCTTTAGATAGGTTTTTTTTTAAATTTTATCTTCTTTGATGCCATTGAGGGTTTCATTGTAGTATAATGTGTGTTCAGTCAGTTGACTTTGTTTATGGAAGATTATAGGGGCCCAAGTCTCAGTTAACGCTCCTGGGCTGCATGCCATAAATTTTTGGGGCTGATATTGGGCAAGTAGCTTTGTTCTCTGGTCTGTTTAGGTTAGAAAGCTGTTGTGCTGGAAAGGCCATGGTGGTCCTAGACTACGGGCCACAGTGCTCTAATGTGTGATGCCAACCAATGTGCTTTGTTTGTGCAATGGCACTGAGATCTCTGCTTATTTGCACATTCCAGCAGGAGCAACAGCATAACGGGGTACATACAGGTTGACTGGGATGGGGAGCTAGTGGGCGTGGGGCTGCCAGCCTCCCTGTGCATGTTTGCAGTGGCAGTGGTGGCACCATGGGGCCAGGGGCAGGGCTGCTGGCATTTATGTGCTTGTCCATACTGGCAGCAGTGTCGGCACGGTGGTTGGGCACTGGTAGGCTGCAGGGCTGCTGGACTCCATGCACACGTTTGCTCCCACGGCAGTGAAAGTGCAGGCTGGGGAGCAAGGCCTCTGGCATCTGTGCACATGCACATCAGCAATGGCCGCTCAACCAGGGTACACAAGGATGTGCTTACTTGAGCAGCAGTGAGATGGGGTCCAAAACGGGTTGGGGGTGGCCGTAGCTGAGTGCAAAACAGGAGATTTTTAAAGATGAGAACTGGTAAAGGGAGACTAGGATACCAAAGGAAGCAAAATATGCCAATTCACAGAGATTTAAAAGAACAGGTTATGTTTTCCAGGGTATGAAGGCACAAAGGAACACAAAGGAAGAGTGGAAACACAAAGGAGGATGTTAGTAGAAATAAGATGGATAAAAAATTTGTTCCTAAACTCATAATTAATTAGTCTATATTACTTTTTCAGGGCATATGCTGCAAGTAAATATATTAAAAAGTAAAATTATTCTATTTATTTTATTATTCTCTAGTAAAGCCATCCCAAGCCTCTCAAGCATATTAAGTATGCTTCTAGCTCTCGGGCTCTCATCAAAGAAGTAAATGAAGACACTGCTTCAATTCACATTTAAAATCACCAGTATTTTCTACCAACATATGTAAGAAGACTGGTAGGAAGTCTGTAAGTGCAGGACATGAGTACTATCTGAAGATTATTCTATCTCAAAGAGAACAATAGATAATTCTGGCGGGACTGATAGCATTTGTATAGTCTTCTAGAATTTGAGAAAAAACATTTTCACTACTGACCCTGATTTTTACCTACACATTGAAAATAGAAGAGAATCACTATAACTATTTCTCATCTCAAAATGCTTTTTATCATAGACATAAACTGATTGGCAAAATTTGATGTTCATCAGCTGGTGTTTTACATCATTTGAATGAGATTTTTTTCAGTTGTCTGTCTTATCTAGAAAGAAAGTGGAAAAAGTCAACCTCAGAACTTAATGCAGAACAATTTAAACAGGGAATGCTAAAGTTCAGGTAGATGAGCCTAGTTCAAGAACTTTGTTCTTTGGAGCAAAACAGTGCTCTGTTGGAACTGATTTTCAATGCAGAAAGACTTTGAATTCTCTAAGGCGTTTTACCAGTTCTATTAAGTCAACAAGCTTGTCATTAAACAAATAGGTCAAGGTCATTAAACAAATAAAGAGATAAACTTCAATTCAAATCCAGATTTTGCTTACCTCAAAATCACAACATTGTATTACTATTGAGTACATACTCTGTGTAAAATCTTGTGTACTAAATGTGGTATGAAATACAAGAAACAAGGGAAGATTAAGCATGGTGATAAGATATAATTTTCCACTCTCTGAACTTTTCTTCTTTCATTTCCCCTTTGCTAATCTCTATGTTCTCTATAAATTTACTCTATCTCTATTCTTTGCACTTGCTACTTCCTCTCTTTCAATCACTCCTTCCTTAGACAGTGAATGTCTTGCCTCCTTTAGGCAGTCAGATCTCAACTTTTCTTTCTCCACAAAGAGGAAACTTGTAATCGCTCTTGATTTTCTTAGTCTGCTTTACTTTTTCTATAGTATTTATTTCCTGCAATTATAGTATATATTCATGTTTGTACTTATTTATAACCTGACTTAGCTACATTCTGGAAACTCTGTGAAGGCAGGAATTTTTGTCATGTTCACTATTTTATTCTCAGGGCCTATAACAATTCTGAGCTCACAATAGGTGCTCATTGACCACTTATAGTAGATAATCATTGATGTATACCTGCAGGTATTCATCAAATGAATGAATAAGTGATTCAATTAGTCGGTTTTCAGAGAGAAATACATTTGTAAAAATAGACTAATTGTAAGACAGAGAGAAATACATATGATAATATTAAAATTAGATCTGTAAACAAAATCCTGTGGGATTCTAAATAAGAAAGCAATTATTTCCAATTTGGGATTCATAGAAGGCATTACAAATGAACTGAAATTTGAGCTGACTTGGGAAATAAGTATTTCAGAAAAAGAGAGCATGATGCATACAGAGGCAGGGCAGAAAATGATTTAAGTGATAGCATTTATGAAGGATTTTTGTGGGAAGTGAGCCTGGAGTTACAGTTTTGCCTCCAGTGTCATGCAAAACCAAGTGAATACTTGCATGCATTGGGAAGCTGTGGAGTTTTACGGAAGAGATGAATATACCTGTCTCACCAACTGGCTCTATCTGGCAACAACGGGCAATCGTGCACGTGCAGTCATATAAATATAAGTGCATCCATTAATCCTTGAGACAAATCAACAGAAGTAGGAACTTAATGACTCTGATCTCTTGTTTACTCGTTTGACTTTGGTGAAAATACAAGTTCTTGGCCTTATTTGAGAAATGCTTATGTTAATTAACTTGAAGTTAACTGTTTATACTTCGTTAGTGTGTAGTGACATGTTTGCAATTAAAATATAGCACATTTTCCTGAGCTATAAACTGATCAGACATGGAGATTCTGGCAAATTCTAGGCAGTATCATAAAAAAATCATTTAAATAGCTCTCTTCTAAGGAGATCTGAATTCCAGTGTAGTATTTATCAACAATATATAGAACAAACTGTTTCTCAATTTATATTTAAAATGAAAACATCACTACCCTATACTTCTAATTCTAACAGAAGAAATAAGATATTTCATGTAAACTAATACTAAAGGTAAGTAACAGTAAACAATACAGAAAATAAAATATATACATGCTAGGGCAAGTGCTTTTCTTGATGCTTGCTAGTAAATGCATTGTATTCATCCATCTATTCTTAAATGATGAATATTCACATTTTATTTGTTAAAATACATAGTATACACTGCAGCTATAAAGAGATATAAAATATTGCCTGATCTTAAAAAAAAAAACTCATTTCTAAGGACAAGAAATATGCATTACAGGTGTTAAGTTGAACTTTAAAATTAAAACCAGTAAAACATTAAAAAGGAGCACCTTTTTCAAAAATATTTTCATTGATATAGTGAATAGATATATAAGCTAAACAATATATCTTAGAAATTTAATCAAAGTTCATCTCCAGCATTACCTATATTCTTTGTAAATAAAAATTAAGAAATTATTTGTAAACAATGATTCTATGGATACTTGTCTATATATATATATATATAATAATATATATATATTATTAAAATGAAGTGAGTTGTAGAAGTGCCGATAGCAAGATGGTAAAACTAATTTTTATTAACCGAGAGATTGACTTTATTTCAATTATATCTATATACTTTCTGCATCTAACCTAATAAAGGGTTATCAGCATAAATGTACAACAGATAAAACTATGCATAGTTTAAATGAATCTTGGTGTTTCTTCACTGATTGTGGCCCGTAAGTTCTAAAGATATATCAGCCTTATTGTTTTTATCATTAATAGAATGTCTGCGCAGAACAGTGACTGACTTGAATGGATACTTGCAGCACTCTAGTGGACATTCTGCTTAAGTGCGAAGACACCTTGTAGTAAAATAAATCATAGTACATGACACAAGATGTTCTTGAAAAAACAATCTCTACCTAAATACTGATATTTCACTTAAATCTATTCTTCTTGCACTGTATGTAATTAAATTTAAAATTAGTGTATTTATCCTGTTAATTCTTTTTAAATGCTGCGCATTTTTGGAAATAACACTTGAGAAATATGGAAGTGCAAAGTGATCAAGGAGGTGAGGAATTCTAAAGGTTAAGGAGTTCATTGAAGTTAAAGATGTTAGACCAGTCTGAAAGGCATTTTGAGGTCAATATTGTGTTGAATTATAAACGAAGGCAGATGAATAGCTTTATATTTCTGAAGTTCAATTAATTTTGTGCCTGTAATTTTGTTTGGCTGAGGTAGAGTCCTCAAACTTAGAAGAGAAAAAGTCAATTGAAGGAATACCATCTATAGAATATGTCAAATTGTTTACCAAAGGTTTTATTTTACAAGATGGTTGATCATTGAGGAATGAGGAAGAAGTAGTGGTTTTGTGGTGGGGGGTGGTAATATAAATTGCTCAAGAAATAGATGAGGGAGAAAATATATTAAACATAAAATATATTAAATAGAAAAAAATAGATACAGAAACATGTGAATAAAAATCCAGTGACAAATTCATATTCTGATAAAAATCTATATATATCTATTAAATTATATGTTTGTCTATGTAGTGGATACTTTTGATTAACTTGCAAATGTTTTCTTTCATTTTACCATTGATTGACTTTAAACTTTCTGAAAGATAATAATTGTTGAAAAATGTTTTAAATAATTCATCAGCTGAGATTTAAAATATCATTCTTGCCATTTGGTAATGAAATACATTTGGTGATAAAATGAAAGCTGACAATTGGGCAGATAAAATGATGTTTAGATAAGCTTATCTGTTTTCTTTAGCAGACATGTATGCATTAAAGTTGCACTTTACCTCACAAATAACACACAGATTTTTAAAAATATTTATTCAGGTTAAAAAAAGAGCTTTATAGAATAGCAGAAAAAATAAAAGATAGTATTTTATTCTAAACAATCTTATTTTCTAACCATAGATTTAAATACAAAATAAAAGGTTAAAAAAGTTTTTTTAACCATAGTAATATTTTTCTTTTTTTATTATTATTATACTTTAAGTTTTAGGGTACATGTGCACAACGCGCAGGTTTGTTATATATGTATACATGTGCCATGTTTGGTGTGCTGCACCCATTAACTCGTCATTTAGCATTAGGTATATCTCCTAATGCTATCCCTCCCCCCTCCCTCCACCCCACAACATTCCCCGGTGTGTAGTGTCTACACTCACACTCACACACACACACTCAGGTGGGCATACATGCACAAGTCAAATGTTAAAACAATATTTCTAATGCTAAAGCATTTAAACCATTGAATCAAAGAGTGTTCATCTGACATATGCAATACACATTGAAATACACAATGAGATACACATTGAAATGATTCCATACCTAAACAGTTTCTGAAGTATCTTTTTAAATTATAAGAGAAAAATGCATATTGTGAAATTCTTTCCATATAGTTTCCAACATGCAAATAAATAATTAAGGGGGTGAAAGGTTGAAATGAATGTGTCTTTATCAAGCTCAGTAATAATATTAATTATTATTGACAATATTTATGTAAGCCCTGTCTACATATGATCACGATTACAGAAATGTAAAACTAGTGAGAATATGTTTTAAAAATAAATAAATAATGCTCAGTTTGCTTTCCACTCCTAAATATATGGAATTGTCTTGCCTCAGTGGTACATGCTTTTTCTGCTGCGAATTGTTGAATTTAGATGAAATATGCACACACAAATCATAATGACATATTTCAAAGTCATCTCTACAAGATATTTACCTCATATTAAATTCCTTTTTGATAGTAGATAAAAACTATGTTATTTAAAACAAATGCCAAAATTTAATAATTTCAAATCTCGTGGTTTAGATTATTAGATTCTTTTCAAGAGAGAGAGTGGGAAAGTAGCAGTAAAAAAGGAAAAAAGATTGCATAAAGGCAATTACCAGTAACAAAGAAATATTATTCTGACACTAGTTAAAACATGAGGAAGACTTTATGCAGAATTATTAGCAATAGATGTCATGATTTTTGCAATAGATGTCATGATTTTTGCAATAGGGTAAAAAGAGCAGACTCAACTCCAAATACAGGAACAACAGCTGGGGATTTGTAGACAATGAGCAAAGTGAAGGCATCAGTAGATGGAAAATTAATCAGAGAAGGATTCTTGCTAAACTGACTTAATGGGATTCTTGTTGAAGGCAAGCCAGATGATTAGATATCAAGGGTGGGGAATTCTTGTTAAACTGACTTAGCAAGATTCTTTGTTTTAATTTTTAATTTTTATGGCTACATAATAGTTGTACATATTTATGGGATACATGTAATATTTTGATACAAGCATACAGTGTGTAATGATCAAATTAGGTAAGCCAGAAATCCATCACCTCAAGCATTTATCATTTATTTGTGTTATGAACATTCCAATTTTACCATTTTAGTTATGTTGAAATATAGAATAAACCATTTAACTATAGTCATCTTATTGTGCTACCAAACATTGAATCTTATTCTTTCTATATCTGACTGTATTTTTGTTCCCATTAACAAACTCCCTTCCCATGACCCTTCCCAGTAGCCATCATTCTACTCTCTATCCCTAGTTCTCTTTTCTTTTTTTTTTTGGTTCCCACCTATTAGTGATAGCATATGATGTTTGTCTTTTGTCTTTCTGTGCCTGGTTTATTTCACTTATCATTGTCCTTCAGTCCCATCCATGTTGCAAATGAAGGATCTCATTATTTTTATGTCTGAATAGTACTCCATTATATATAGATGGAGTACTATATATATACTTACATTATATTACATTATATTTTATATATATATATAAAGAAGATATGGAATTCACCTAAATGTTCATCAATGGATAAATAGGTTTTATTTAATGTGGTATACACACACACACACACACACACACACACACACACTGTGTATACCACATTAAAAAAAATTATCCATTGATGGTTGATTCCCTTAGGTTCAGCCTTAGGTTTATTCTGTATCTTCATTATTGTGAATTGTGCTGTGATAAACATGAGAGTATAGATATCATTTTGATACATTGATTTTCTTTCGAGTATATACCAAGCAGATTTGCTGCATTATATGGTAGTTATATTTTTAGCTTATCGATAAAGGGCTATAATGTTCTTCATAGAGGCTGTATACTAGTTAGCTGGATTCTTTTTTTCTTTTTTAGAAAGACTACTTGTTGAGAGCAGTTTTATGTTCACAGCAAAATTGAGAGAAAGATACAGAGATTTTCTATATACCCCTGCCTCCACACATGCACAGCCTCCCTCATGATGAATATTGCTCACCACAGTGGTACAGTTGCTTTGATGGATGATCCTACATTGACATTTAATCACTCAAAGTCCATAGTTTACATTAGGGTTCACTCTTGTTGTTGTACATTGCATGGCTTTACACAAAGGTATAATGACATGTGTTTATCATTACAGTAACATGTAAGGTATTTTCACTTCCCTAAAAACCCTCTGCTCTGCCAATGTATTCTTTTCTTCTCTTGCCAATCCTTTGACAACCAGTGATCTTTTTACCATATTCATAATTTTGCTTTTTCCAGAATGTTGCGTAGTTGGAACAATGCAGTAAGAAGCCTTTTCAGATTGACTTCTTTTACTTCGTAATATGCAGTTAAGTTCCTCCATGTCGTTTCATAGCTTGATATTTCATTTATTTTTATCACTGAGTAATATGCTATTATATGGCTGTAACACATTTTACTCATTCACCTATTGGAGGATATCTTGCTTGCTTCAAAAATTGGTTGAATTTATACATCCATGCTCATGAGGAAGTTTTCTTATTTGTAAAATCCTTGTCTGGTTTTGGTTGAGGGTAATGCTAACATTATTGAATGGGTTGGTATGTACTCCTTTTTATTTCTGGGGGAGAGTTTATGTAAAATTATATTATTTCTTCCTAAAATATTGGTAAAACTTAGCAGTATAGCTATCTGGGTCTGGAGCTTTTTGTAGGAAGGTTTTCAACTATGGCTAAATTTTCTTTTATAGATATAGGGCAATACAGATTATCCTCTGTTGATTGAGATTCGGTAATTTTTATTTCTCAAGGAATTTTTCAATTTTGGCTAAATTGCCATATTTATTCACATAAATTTTGTAATATTGCCTTGTTTTTTAAAAGTATCTATAGAATCTATAATATTATCACATTACTCATTTCCAAAGTTATTAATTTGTATCTTCTTGTTTTCCTGAACAGTCTGACTAGATAAAGCTTTATTACTTTTCTTGAACTCCTCAAATTCTTTGGTGGTATTGATATTTCCCACAGTTTTTCTGTTTTATTGGTTTCAGCTTTGACATCTTAGTCTTTTCATCCTGCTGTAACAAAATACCATAGACTGAGTAACTCACAAACAAAAGAAATTGATTTCTCACAGTTCTGGAAACTGCAAAGTCCAAGATCGAGGTGCTGTCAGATTTGATGTCTGGTGAGGGATCACTTCATGGTTCATACATGCATTATCTTCCCCGTGACCCTACATGGCAGAAGAGGTTAAGGGGATCTCTTGGGTCACCTGCTTAAGAACATTGATCAACTTATGAGGGCTTGGCCCCCATGATGTAATCATGTCCACAAAGCCCCACCTCCTAATAATGTCACCTCTGTGATGTGGCTTTATCATATAAATTTTGGAGGAACATAAAAACTCAGACCATAACATGTATTTATCATTTCCTTTCCTCTGCTTCCTTTGGGTTTAATTTTCTCTTCTTTTTTTCTAGTTTCTTAAGGTAGAAGTCAAAGTCATTGATTTGAGACTCTTCTATTACAGATATCAGTGTTGAAAATTTTTATTTAAATACTGTTGTAGCTGCATTCCACAATTTATGATATGTTGTATTTTCATTTTCACTTAGTTAAAAATACTTTCTAACTTCTATTTTTATTACCTCTGACCCAGGGTTATTTGGATCTGTGTTACTTGGTTTCCAAATGGTTGAGTTTTTCCAGATATAATTTTGTTATTGATTTCTAATTTGATTGCTTTTTAGTCAAGGAATATGTTTCATATGACTTAAATCCTTTTGACTTAATCATTTTATTAAGATATATTGTATGAGCTAGAGTAAGCTCTATTTTGGTAAGTGTTCCATGGGTACTTGAGGAGAATGTATTCAAGTCTCCTCTATTCTTGCTGATTTTCTGTCTCCTTGTTCTATCAACTGAGTAAAGGGATACAGAAATCTCAGACTATACTTTTTAATTTGTCTATTTCTTTTGCAGTTCTGTTCATTTTCTTTGTATCATGTATTCGGAAACTTTTATGTTATTAGGTACATAAATGTATAGGACTGTCATATCTTCTTGATTAATTAAAACTTTTATCATTATGAAATGACCTTGCTTATTGCTGGTAATATTTTTACTATGAAATCTACTGTAGTATTAAATAGCCACTCCCCATCAGCCTTCTTTTGTCAAGTGTTAATGTGGTATATCCTGTTCTATCCTTTAACCAATGTGTGTCTTTTTATTTAAAATATACTTCTTGTAGGCAGCATTTAGATGGGCCTTGCTTTTTTATACATTCTGACAATCTGCCTTTGTTTTTTTTTTTTTAGTTTTTGTTTTCTTAATTTTATTTTAGGTTCAGGGGTACATGTGCAGGTTTATTATATAGGTAAATTGCATGTTGTGGGGGTGTGGGGGTTTGGTGTACAGAGTGTTTCATCAGCCACATAATAAGTATAGTACCTGACAAAAAGTTTTTGATTCACACCCTGCTCCCAACCTCCACCCTCAAGTAGGCCCTGGATCTTTGATTCCCTTATTTGTGTCCATACGTATTTAATGTTTAGCCTCCACTTAAAAGTGAGAACATGTGGTATTTGTTTTTCTGTTCCTGTGTTGGTCCGCTCAGGATAATGGCCTCCAGCTCTATCCTTGTTGCTGCATAGGACATAATTTCATTCTTTTTTATGGCTGTGTAGTATTCCATGGTATCTATGTTCCACATTTTCTTTATCCAGTTTACCATTGACGGGCATTAAGTTCATTCCATGTCTTTGCTATTGTAAATAGTACAGTGAACAGGATTCTTGTTACAATTGGGATGGGCTTGGGGACCAGGCCCAAGGATGAGGCCAAGTTGAAAAGAGGGCTCAGAGAAGCCCATCTACGGTTTGGTCAAGGAGAGACTCTGTCACTTGCAAAATAATTTTGAAGGAGACTTAATTGCTATCATTCATTTATATAATGCTGGGTACTCGAAGCATGAGAATGCAACAGTCCATGCCTTTTTCATATTCATTTTCATGAGGTACATGAAATATATAACACTTTTGGATATTTGTTACCACACTCAAAAGTTTTGCATCTTCTATATTCTCTACTAATGAATTTACATTTATGCATGGTATGCTTGATTAGTATTTGCATTGTGCTTTGAATTTCTAAACATGTTGAAATAATTGATTAGTTATTTCTCCCATAGCCCCATATGAGATAAGACTAATGCTTAGTTCTTATGTAATGTTTCCAACATCAGCGCTTTTAATAAATATCACCTAGTTAGTTTTGATATCACTCTTGAAGGCTATTATCTCCACTTTATTTTATTAAAAAAAACAGAAACAGGATGAATAAACCACTTTTCTGAACTGATAAAGGGAATAATTATGAGGAATAGGAAAATTGGGTCTCAAATAGAATAAAAAATAAGGGAGAATCTATAAGCACTTTAAAGATCTTATGAGCTTTTTTGTATAATAGCCCTCAATGCAATCTAAATAGAAAAGAAATAATTTAGGAATCATATAACATCAGCTAACTTTTATGAAAATTTAGGATAGTCACTTCAACTTACTTTGCTACATTTTCTTTACCTGTAAAATTACAATGCTTATGCCTTACTGACCTTTTTCAAAAAATTGTAAAGAAATATCAATTAATGCATGTGAAAAAATCTTCAAAGAACAGTATGATTAACAGTGTCACAGTTTTAGAATGCAAAGGTATATCTGTATCTTGCTTTTGAATAAATTTGTTGATTCACAAAAGCCTGAATATATCCCCAAATTCCACCCACAAGATGAGGACCTAACTTTTTTGCATGGCTAGCCAGTCCTTTCAAGTACCATCTGTCTAGCCCCTGCATGATCTGTTCCCTGAATACCTTTCAAGCCTCATTTCTTGCCAGTCTCTGTTCTTTTCATTATGCTCTAGGCAATCTGACCTCACTAACCCTGCAAAAAGCCTACTTCAGTTCCTTCATATGTACATTTTTCCTCTTTCTGAATCCCTGTTTTCAATTGCCTTCACCTAGTTACTCCTACACATTCATTAAAAGGCAATCACTCAGCAAAGCTTTCTGATCTCCCACACCAGCCAATTCTTCTCCCTGTATAAATAGAAATTATTATATACTTTTCCTTTATATCATTTATCAGAGTTGTAGTTAAATACATATATAGTCACATATATATTTGATTTGTTTAAAATCTACTATCTCCCACTAAACTGCGACCTCCATGAATGTGTAGTGTAGTGCAGTGTCTGGTGTGCTCAGGGCTTTAATTCCCAGTCTCTAGCTCAGTATCTCATGTCTAAAGGTATTACCTGAATATTGTTGAATATTGTTGTTATGTTGTACCTCTTTTTTTTGGAGAGGAATTTTTTTATTTTAATTTTTTATTTGACTTTAAGTTCTGGGATACATGTGCTGAATGTGCAGGTTTGTTACATTGGTATACATGTGCCGTGGTGGTTTGCTGCACCTATCAACTCATCATCTAGGTTTTAAGCTCTGTGTGTATTAGGTATTTGTCCTAATCCTCTCCCTCCCCTTTTCCCACATGCCCCAGAAGGCCCCAGTGTGTGATGTTCCCTTCCCTGTGTCCATGTATTCTCATTGTTCAGCTCCCACTTATGAGTGAGAACATAGGGTGTTTTTCTGTTCCTGTGTTAGTTTGCTGAGGATGGGTTCCAGCTCCATCCATGTCCCTGCAAAGGACATTAACTCATTCTTTTTTATGGCTGCATAGTATTCCATGGTGTATATGTGACACATTTTCTTTATCCAGTCTATCATTGATGGACATTTGGGTTGGTTCCAAGTCTTTGCTGTTGTAAATAGTGCTGCAGTGAACACATGTATGCGTGTGTCTTTATAGTAGAAGATTTATAATCATTTGGGTATATACCCAGTAATGAGATTGCTGGACCAAATGGTATTTCTGGTTCCAGATCCTTGAGGAATCACCACACTGTCTTCCCCAGTGGTTGAACTAATTTACACTCCTACCAACAGTGTAAAAGCGTTCCTATTTCTCCACATCCTCTCCAGCATTGGTTGTTTCCTGACTTTTTCATGATTGCCTTTCTAACTGGCGTGAGATGGTATCTCATTGTGGTTTTGATTTGCATTTGTCTAATGACCAGTGATGATGAGCTTTTTTTCATATGTTTATGAAAATGCTGCATAAATGTCTTCTTTTGAGAATTGTCTGTTCATATCCTTAGCCCACTTTTTGATGGGATCTTTTTTTTAATATATATATCGTACCTCTTAGCTCCCTTTCTCTTCTAGATCACAAATATGCTATTGGAGGACATAGAAAAACCAAGTATATTTGGGAGCAACAATTTAGCTAATGTTAGAAAGAAAAGTAGGAAAACTGCTGCTTTTAGTCCCTATTTAACCCAAAATGCTGAATTCCTGGACTTTTGATGTCAGTTTACCTTAGTTATCAAGATTGCTTAAGGTGTAAACAGGGGATCCTAAATTCATGCACAAGGAGTGTCTGAATTCAAGAAAACTCTAATATCATAGTTGGGGGTATGGTGTTTGAGGGAATAATCAGGATAAATAGACATTTCATCATTCATATCATGGGCAACAGAAAAGAATGGTTATTGGGAATAAACATTAATTTTATGAAGAACACATTAAAAGATAGGGTAATAATTTTTTACTGAGATGAGATTTTTAAAAAGGTAAATAAAGTTAGAAATATTACAAGGAACCACAAATTATAATGACACAATGCAAAAAAAAAAAAAAAACTCCTTTTGTACTAGTAAAGGTAGAAATGGACTATAGAAAGCCAAATAATTTGTATGGGAATAAATATGGTCAAGAGATTTAGAGAAATATCAAATAGATGAAAACAGTTAAAGGTGATAGTAATGAAGACAAGGAAAAAATCTAATAGAGTTATGTTGGTTTTTTTGTTTGTTTGTTTTGTTTTGTTTGAGACGGAGTCTCACTCTGTTGCCAGGGCTGGAGTGCAGTAGGCGCGATCTTGGCTCACTGCAACCTCCGCCTCCCAGGTTCCAGCGATTCTCCCGCCCCGGCCTCCCGAGTAGCTGGGATTACAGGTGCCTGCCACTACGCCCAGATAATTTTTTGTAATTTTATTACAGACGGAGTTTCACTGGCCAGGCTGGTCTCCAACTCCTGGCCTCATGATTCACCCACCTCAGCCTGCCAAAGTGCTGGGATTACAGAAGTAAGCCACCGCACCTGGCCCCAATAGAGTTTTCGTACGTATTCTTGAGGACAATGTGTAAACAAATAGAATAAAAATAATAAGTATATTTGGTAGAAAACTAACTTTCTCTGCTAAAGAGAAAATTCTGTACATCTAAAAGAGTCCTTCACATATTACAAAATACAGAAAAGATAAATTCTCAAGTAAATTCTATTAAAATTATTTAACTATAAGTTAAAAATTATATACTGTGTAAGCCCAGAGAGCAAACTTGTTTTTTCAATAAGAAAACTGTTGCTTGTTCTTAGGTTTCCTTTCTGCTTTGTTAAACAAGAGAAGATAATGGAGAGGTTAGGGGGGAAAACAGCCAAAATGACCTCTCCCCAACTACCTCGTAATGCCAGAGGGCTTAGGATGAATAACATTCACTTCATTCAATTAAAAAATAAATGTAAAAAAATCACCACAAAACTCCAGAATGAAAATTTGCGGTCTGAAAGGACAGGTAATGCAATCATTATTTAAATAATTGTTGAAAATATGGTTACACATTTTATGAAAGCAATTCTGTTTGAAAGTAAAGATATATAGCAAAAAAATGAAAGTAAACAATAAAATTTATTCTAAAATCCCAAATTATACAGCACAAATCCAATAGTATTAATTCCAATTACTAATCATTTAAAAATAACCAAAGACTTGGATGCAAAAAAAAAATTTTGTTAAAATGTTTCTTGCAAATCTACATAGTAAAGTAAGATGGAAAACAAATAAAATGCTCCATTAAATAGGATTGGATAAATAAATTGTGATATATCCTTAAAAACAAAAGGCTCTTCCTCTTCTAAAACTCATGTTTTATCAAAGTATTTAATGAAATGTAAAGACAGGTTACAACAGTGAGTACTATAACTATTTCAAATCATTGTGTAATTCACTGTAATAAGTTTTTTTGTTTGTCTTTTTTTTTTTTTTTTTTTTTTTTTGAGACGGAGTCTTGCTCTGTCGCCAGGCTGGAGTGCAGTGGCGCGTTCTCAGCCCACTGCAACCTCCACCTCCCGGGTTCAAGCGATTCCCCTCCCTCAGCCTCCAGAGTAGGTAGGACTACAAGAGCGCGCCACCACGCCGGGCTATTTTTTTTTTTTTTTTTGTATTTCAGTAGAGATGGAGTTTCACCGTGTTAGCCAGGATGGTCTTGATTTCCTGACCTCGTGATCCACCCGCCTCGGCCTCCCAAAGTGCTGGGATTACAGGCGTGAGCCACCACGCCAGGCCAATAAGTTTTAATAAGAAAAGTTAAATAATTTTTTTTATAAATTGTTTTAACCATTTAGATATGCCTGAAGTATGTCTAGAGTTTAAAATGGGTTAGATCAAATTTGAATATGTAGAAAAGCTTGGGGGCTAAAATCCCATATCTATCCATTTCAACTATGTTGATTATTAAAAACCAAAAAAAAAAAAAAAACAGAAAAATATGTCTATAATATTAAGATAAAATGAGTTGCAAATCTAAGTCACAAAAAGATACTTATTTGTACATCTTTAAATATAAAATTAAAATCAGGAAGTCATCTGAGGTGTACCATGTTTCAGTAACTGGCAAACTTCACATAGAATTCATAAGTGTCTTTTGATGGATAACCTGGGAAAATTTTATGATTAATAATGAAGATTTTTCTTCAAAATTTTAAAACGTATTTTCCAAAAGGGGGTGAAAAAGTAATGATGACAAACAGGTGCAAGTATATATAGCAGGAGTCAGAAAACAAGCTTATGTAATCTAACTCTTTTTTTTAAGGATATGTGCATCTTCACCTTTGATAAATACTGCGAACATTTAAAAACCTGACAACGTCAAGGACTGGTGAACGTGTCACATGTGATGGGTGTGAAATGGCATCTCTCCGCAGCAGGTGCTGGAGACAGTTTGGCCTTAGAGAGGCACTTAGTTATAGCAAGAATGTTTTATAAATGGTATTTGATATAGTCTAATTAAGATTAATGGGGAATAAAAAATGCTGCTTAGAAATAATAATTCATAGATCTAAAGTCAACAAAATCTTTTTATTTAATGTAACAATATATAAGATTTTACAGAAAGGGAGAACAACTTGAAATAAATCAGGAAACGCTTTTATATTAATCATTCTTTTCATATACTTCAAATTTGTACTTAATGCCTTTCTCCTCCTCCACATCAGAGACAACACCTTGTGGGTATTCTGGGAGAAGTTTATATTTCTCTAAATCACCTTCTAGGGGAAAAAAACGTGTCACTTTGAAAGTCCTGCATGATCCATGTCACAAATAGTTTAAAATGGTCTCAATTCATGGATTCCTTATAAACAGAACTGCCTCCCACTGTAAAAAACACGTCTTGTTTATTTGCTAATTTTAGTTGCTCAATACGTTTTAAGGCATCACCCAGACTTTAGTCAAGAAAAGGAGGTCTTTGCGGTGGTTCCTTGGATTCTCTACTGACAACTAAATTAATTATATACTTTAAAGGTTGATTCTTCTCAGTAATCGAGAACCAGTTCTTCCTAATTAAAAATACTAAATTTTCTTTACCCTCTGCTGAAGAGGGTGTGGTCATTCTTTGGAATCGAATTTATTTTTGAGCTGAGGTCAGGGCAGGTCCCCATTCCTGATGATGCCCATCTTCTGGGAAACATTGACAATGCAGTTTAGCGGATGAACCATGACAACAGCAGTGAACACCTATGAGCTGGGTCACAACACCAGGATGCAAGACCAAGAATCATGCGAAATTCTAACTCTTGTTTTTATATTGCCAATCATTATTTCCATTTCTTCCTTGGATTTGGGTTACTGTTGATGATTAAGATTATTGCTAATATTTATAATATTTTATCAGAATTATATTTTGTGATTAATAAGAAATATTTTAAATCCATAAATTAGATAATGGGTTCACCTATAAATATTTTTAACCAAATAAGAAATTTAAAAATTTACAGGATTAAGTATAGTTATAATATTTGCTGTTTTCAGTTGCATGAATGTTATATGGGGAGAAGAGTTAACCTGTAAATAAATAACTATTCAACCTTGATTTTTACCTTTGTTTACTTAAATTTATATTTTCAGTCTTTTGGCAAATTTATTTTTGATAATGACTTTTTTGTTTTTTTTTTTGTTTTGATTTTGCTTTTTGAGTCATGGAAAATGTTTTATAAAGAGAAATACAACATGACTGTCTTTCTTCCAAAAGAAATATAAGACTTGCATAGAAAAGTTTCAACTGTGAGGCAATATCTACCACAATCATTAAGGCAGATGGTTTACCTTCATGTAATATTCAATTATCTCTTAGCTACCTATACTTTAAGTATATAATGTGAAGTGTTGAGTGCCTGATATTTATTCCATACAAACTTAACAGTATTATAATTGCTTCACCTTTTTGATTCATATCATTTTAGTTTTGATGACGTTAGTGGTCTACTGAATTAAAAAAAACACTTTTGTTTGTACCACATATTCCTCAGATAGAACAAACAAACTATCGATGGAGGCTGCTGGCTGTCTTCGGTTTCTTGGGGTTTTCTGTGTGAGTTCATGTGTATCTACCTATATACACCAAATTAAACTATAATTCTCAACGAATCTTAGAATTCCCTCCAAGTAAGAGAGATGAGGAGGGGCTTACACCCTCCATGATACTAACTAAAAAGAACACCTCATTTATACTCAATCTTAATCTTTTTCTGGCCTTTATTTAATCTCAATTTGCAACTAATTTATTTATTTGATTATTTGATAAATGTCTATCCTCCCCACTGTGTTTTAAGCACTGTCAGAGCAAAGATCACATCTCTTTTGTTCACCATTGTACCCTAACACTTAGGGCAGGGTTTAGTTGAAGAAAATTCAAAGAAGAGAGCTACAAAGAGAATATAGGCTGCAGAATTATTGGCCTAACTCCTCAGGGTCCTGTCAGGGGACAAATCAACTTTTTCCTTATCTGTGTTTTTATGCTCTTTGACTCAAAATGCCCAGGAAAAAAAAAGTGCTCAAATTGTTCTGGCCTGAGTCTCTTGCCTGCTTCTTGGCAAAAAGAACACAGGGCACCTGAACTGATAGACACACAAACTGTACAATAAAAGAATAATAATTCCTCACAGAAAATCCAGGTGTTGTTACCAGACCATAGCAGGGATGGATACCAGGAAAGCAAAACTGAGAGATGCTCATTACAGGGAATAAACAAATGGTTCTGTATTTCCAATAAGTTCTTCACAATAGCAATACCAGAAGATGTGCAAAAAAAGCTGTCACATTTCCTTTAATGTCAGTTACCCCTTACAATAACCAACAGCAAGTTAATTCATTTTTTATTAAAATGTTTGTGCCAGCAGATATTTTGGAAGGATTATCTAGACTGTATACCAAGATGGCTCACATCCTTAAAGCATTTTTTAAATATTATGAAGTGTTTTTCCCTTACATTGCTACTCCATGAAGGCAGAGACCATGCCTATTTTGTGTACCTCTATATTCCTAGTACATGCTCAGAGCCTGGCACAAAATACACACCCAGATATTATTGAATGACTAAATCAATGAAGGACTACAGAGGGTTTCTAACTGTATACAGGCATGTTTGATCTGTTTCCCTTGTGGGAACTAAAAATAAGTTAAGACTGGAATTATTTTAAGATGTTTTTAATACAAATTTGAAATACAAGTTAGATACAAATACTTTAAATTTGCATTTAAAAACATCTTAAAATAATTTCGATCTTAATTTCTGTTTAGTTCTGATAAGGGAAACAAATAAAGCCAAACCTATAGTTTCAAAAGGAAAATATCAGTGTCACTTCTGGATTATGTTCAGCTTAAGATTCTCATGAAACTTTTTAGGAGGATAGAAAATCATGTAAGATGATCTTGTGCTAGTTTGTCTCTGCTCTGAGGCAGAAAATAAGATCTTCATAGACAGGTTTGAGAGCTTAAATTCCTACAAAATAGTTCTAAAAGTATGAGGGGCTAAATCTTGACACTAATTCACCTAGTGTGGTATTATTTTCCTGAAATAATCCTCCCTGGCAACTTGTCATGAAAATCTATCAGACGGACACATTTCTTCATCTATTGAATTTTTTCCGTTGACATCTCCGTTAAGTGATATTATTAATTCTGTTCAAAATGTAATTCTTTTTCAGTTGTACTGTCTACTGGGGCCTGAAATATTCATACTGACTGTTCCTCACATTTTAATTTATTTTTTGCTAACTGTAGAATATGATTTCCTTGAAAGCAAATAAGCTTTCTTGTGCTTATTCCTGGTTTCATTGGTTTACTACCCTACAGCCACATCTCTAGCAAGAAATTATTTGACTTTGCTGTGTCTTTGGTCAGATGAAGGCCCATTCAAACCAGTGCTGTTGATCATATAGCAACTAGGTAATAGGAAGAGTATTATGCTGAATTAAAATCTTATTAATAACTCTGATATGTATTATATATTTGCCTTTGGAATGCCTTTTTTCGTAATATTTGAATCATTATTCATGGAATGAGAGCAAGAGTATAAATAGTAGATCTGTTATATCAAATGGAATACCAGATAAGAATGGCTAGCACACTGACAGAATCATGACAAGTATTCGAAAATGGTTATTTTCTTCCTTCACTTCCAAACAGAAAATGGCTACACTTTTTCTGACCCAGTAGACTACTAATAACTGAAAAGTGTTCCTCAGCTATAAGGTGGATATGCATTGCCTAATAAAGACTCTAATCTGCTAATAATCCATATAGAGACTACATGAAAGCTTATGCAGAAATCTAATGGAAATTTTTCTTCTAGCATCATTCAAGGCTGGACATGAATTTGTCTTTGTCTACCTTATACCTGCAAATAATTATATTAGATCAGAAGCATTTAATTTCTCCTTATTTGATATGTGATATTGTTGTCACTTTGTATTTGAAACTGAAATGGTAAGATTAAAGACTGTGTCAAACAGCTAGATACAACTACAGTATTTAGCCAGCATATAACCATGAACTAACACAGTGCCTAGAATCTATTGGATACTCAATAAATATATATTGGAGAAATAAAATATACAAATGAATAAAGTTGTACTATCTACTGGGACCTGAGATAAAATATGAATGATGAAGATTTTTCTGTGTTTATATCCATATATCTAAACATAATCTTCGAACCTTCCTTTAGGGAAGCTCTCACTGCCCACTACATACCAATAAATCATAGACACTTCAATCCAGCTCCTTATGCCCAGAATTAGACTGACAGTACTAAGTACTTTGTTCAATAATGCCTACTGCTTAATAAAATATACAAATCATGCCAAGTAAATGTGACATAATATGTGCTAAACAGTGCTATTCATTTTACCCACAGTGTTAAAGACAGAGTATACAACTTTAGCATTTTAAAATATTATATGTTAAAGCAAAACCAGAAGAAAATAAATGGGATCATTTGATGGTTTGCAGCAAGCTAATTTTGGGAGAAAAGCCCTTTGTAATAAAGCTAATGTGATCTTGGGTAAAGGAAGCTATCTGCACCTGCACTGCAGAGATAACTGCGAAAGAAAGCAGGCACAATGCCAGGGAGCACAAAGAAGAGTGTGAAACCCAAACTGGTGGATAAGGGCGTTGGAAGATGAACTGTCTGGTTGAATATTATAGAACAGGCAAACTTTAAGTTACATATGGGAATTTTCACAGGAAAGATTGGGAAAAGGCATTCCAGGAAGAAGAAGCAACATATATTAAGATACAAAATAAAAGATAATATGTGGTATATAAGAAATGTGAGGTATGTGGTTTGAGGGCAGCTGAATGATAAGCTAGACTCATGATAGGCCTGATTAGTGTGGCTAAGACATTTGGGTTATAAACAAAGTTAAAGAGAAGACATTGAGAATTTTGAGCAAACAATAATGTATCAAATCTATGTATACAGTTGTTTCTCTTGGTGTTTGTGGGGGATTGATTCCAGGACCTTTTGGGAATACCAAAACCTAAGATGCTCAAGTACCTTATATAAAATGGAACAATATTTTCATGCTCTGTATACTTTAAATAATCTCTAGATTACTTAATAACACTTAATGCAATGTGAACATTATGTAAATAATTGTTATACTGTATTGTTTTTGTGTTTTTTCTTATATTTTTATTATTTTTTAAAAAATATTTTTCATCTGCACTTGGTTGAATAGAAACTGCAAAAACTGACAAGATTAGAAATATAACTCTGAACAGAAATATAGATAACAAATTTGTTCATGAGTGGAGAGAGGACTGGTCAGACTTTAGGTATAAAAAAAGCATGTAGAATGTTAAAAATAATGCAGTAGTAGAGAAGAAGATCTAGTAGATGAGAAGGATTACAGTGATTTTAAAGAAGCCATTATCTGGACATGAACTGGTTGAATTGAAGAGGAAATGGAGTATCTTTTTCGCATGGACTAAATGAAATGAAGGAATATCATAGCAAACCTGTTTACTTTGTTATCAGGATCTTGAATTTGAAGGAGTTCATGAAATAAATTCAATTTAACCCATCCATTTAGAGTCAGAGAAAAAAGGAAAAAGTCTATTGAAAGTGACTGTGGTGGATGTTGTGAAAGGGGCTTAAGAAAAATGCAAAGGCTGGAGAGATTGTTGAAGATTAAAAAAATGATAGAGTTAGCTAGGTAAGACACAAAAGGATTCTCTATGCACACTGAAGTTTCAAATGAGGCTGAAGGCTAGATTTGCAATGGCACTGATCTACATAGCTACATAATTTTTGCCCTAGAAGATATCAATTTGTTAGATATTATGTATATACATAAGACAATTTTTGGGTTAGTCAAAGGAGTTTTTATCAGATCAGTGCAGCAAGGTACTTGCGTAAGGTGGGGCATGAAAGTGTGTTGTGAAAGTGATACGGTCAATAAGGGTGTAAAGTGAATAAGGTGGATAACTAGGGAAAAATAAATGGGTTCTACAAATGTAGATGATGTCATAGACTAGAGATGATATAGGAAAGCTAAAATAGGGGAAATGGTAATTACAGTGCAAAATATTTGAGTGTACTCTTTCAGACATGGAGAAATGTGAAGCCATAAGGAATTTTAAAGATTAATTTGTAATGAGTGGTTAAAAAGTTTCAGAGGTTCAGAAAGGGAAAAGAGATTAAAGTGAGCTGAAATGTTTTTGGAAGTATTAATGGAGGAAGAGAAACCTGAGCTTGAAGGAAAGACAGTAGAAGCATATATTTATGGAGTATATGGGGTATTTTGGTATAGACATACAATGTGTAATAACTACGTCAGGGTAAATGGGTATTCATCACTTCAAGCATTTATTCTTTGTGTTACAAACAACCCAATTATACTCTTTTAGTTATTTTAAAATGTAAAATTAAATTATTGTTGACTGTGGTCAACCTGTTGTGCTATAAAATACTAGATGTTATTTATGCTTTAACTGTTTTTGTACTTGTTTAACCATCCCCACTTCTCCTTCATCCCATTATTATTCTTCCCAGCCTCTGGTAACTACTTAGCCATGGAAGGAAGGAAGGAAGGAAGGAAGGAAGGAAGGAAGGAAGGAAGGAAGGGGAGACAGAGAAAAAGAGAGAGAGAGAGTGAGAAAGCAAGCAAGCAAGAAAGAGAAAGAGAGAGAGAAAGAAAGAGAGAAAGAGAGAGTAAGAAAGAAGAAGGAGGAAGGAAGGAAGGAAGGAAATTTGATAATCAGGAAAAGGATTTGCACTTTGTTGTTTAGGCAGTGTTAACTGTTCAGTTACAAATGTTTAAATTAATTAATAAAATGCTTAACAAAAGCTGTTCAAATACATTTTCTGCCCTTTATTCAATTCCAAATAATTTCTGAAAATATACAATAGAAATATCAATGCAAAGGATCATCTGAGTCACTTTCAACTGAACTCCTTTGTGCTATTTATAATGCTATTTATCAAGGTGATTAAGGGCCAATTGATTGTCTGTTAGTATAAATAGTAAAAATTTATGGTCATTATGTCATTTCAATTGGGAGATTTTCTTAAGACATCAGTCTAATTGACTTATTTATTTGGCAAATGTGCCACTAAAGTAGTAATATGCTATAGAAATATCATATTATATTTTCAGTATCTAATATAACTGTTGTTTTAAAGTTAAATATTTTTAATTTTCTTATTAAATATATTATACTGCTTTTTTCAATATTTTATCAAGACTATATCTAACTAAATTTGTTTGTGTAAATTATATTTAAAGAGTTAAATATTACAAAAACATCATTTCTCATGGTAAAATTTGTGGCAGAAAGATAGTGGATTATATATTATAATGTTCCCTATCTTATTTTTTTAAAAAAGTCTCCACATATTTTATAACTTTAAATAACCAAATAACTAAAAAATAAAAATGTCAAATCCTTAAAAATAAAAGACAGATTCCAAACTAGAATAAAGATTCAAGTTATAAAAGATATATAACTCAATAAAACAAATCAATATTTTCTCTAATCAAATGTAAATATGTAATCAGCTGTAGGTAGCCAAAAATTAATTACTACATTGCTCTGGATATGACTACACAATAAAGAGCAACAATGAAATTGTACTGATATTTTAATAAATATTTCTGTACTCATTATTTGCAAAGAATTAAGATGTCTTTTCTGTCCTCAATTAGTTTATACACTTATTGACAAATTTAGTCAGTTTGATTTGTAACTAAAATCTAAGACAGAAAGCCATACATAATATGAGAAGCACACAAGTAATTTCTATGAGCACTGACTTCATTATTTTTTTACTGGAAGGAAGTAGGGCACACTGAAAAAGGGAAAAAGTGAATTTTCCCAAGAAGGATTTCAAAACATCCTCATTTTTCTAAAAATTTAATTTTAAGTAAATGCAAACATATAGTCTTAAATTGCTTTTGCTTGATGATATGGTTTGGCTGTGTCCTCACCCAAATCTCATCTTGAATTGTAGCTCCCATAATTCACACATGTCCTGGGAAGGACCCAGTGGGAGGTAATTGAATCATGGGGGAGGGTCTTTCCCATGTTGTTCTTATGATAGTGAATAAGTCTCATGAGATCTGATGGTTTTATAAAAGGGAGTTCTCATACACAAGCTCTCTTGCCTGCCGCCACGTAAGACGTGACTTTGCTCCTCCGTTCACCTTATGACATGATTGTGAGGCCTCTCCAGCCATGTGAAACTGTGAATCCATTAAACCTCTTTTTCTTTATAAATTACCCAGTCTCAGGTATACCTTTATTAGCAGTGTGAGAACAGACTAATACACTTAAGAAAGGAAACATTGACAATCCACTGTGAAATGACTTTTAAAATAGCTAGAGTAATTAAGGGAAGGTATAAGGGGTTAATTTAAAAATTTCTTAACATATCTGTATAATTTAAGCTCAATTCTAGGCATCTACAATGGAAAGAACTAGTATTTTAGATGGGGTAAGATTTGATAGTGAAGATAAGGATAACACCAAATATCTACCTCAGTGAATCATATATCCCTGGTCCCAGAGAAAAACAATTTGCAATCTGAACATTTTCCTGTTAATGGATTGCAGGAGAGTTGATGGATTTTTTTGGATTGAAGATTAACTTCATACTAATCCCAGGTCTTCTGGGAGTGTTGGCAATAGGGTGGTAGGATTTGGTCACAGAAAGATTAGAGCAAAAAATATCATGGAAGACAGTAAGGAAGCAGCAGGTCTGGGTTTTGTGAAACATGAAGCTCATACAATTTCCAATATTCTACAAAAGCAAAAGAACATAGACTAAGTACAACACTGAATATTTATTTAGAAAGAGAAAATATTTCCCATTTTTTTGAAATTCCAAATTTTAAAAAGCTGACAAATATCAAAGGTATTACAAAACATGAAAAAACAACACATTTTTATTTAACTGCCTCATCTATCCCCATAATAATATCTCATTTTTTTAATATTTTGCAGCTGTAGCCTTTGATAGCTTTTTCATAACAATAAATTGAAAGAATGAAAAATATTTTTTCTTTAGCATAATCAAAAATTGTTTCTTATTGGTAGTTGAGAAAGTTACTTTCAGCTTTATAGCTCATTTTTTGGTAATATCAGGTAAATATTTAGAATTGTTATAATTTACTTCCATATATGAGCTCTTATATTTAGACCTTCTGAAGATCAGCTTGGAGTTGTAAGCATTTCAAACCCTATTTCTCCTGCACTACCTACTTACTTGTGCTTGGAAAGGTAGGATTTGATCATATTTCTTTCACCTGCTGGGCAGGAGTCCCTGTGTCAGAATATTGAGGTTATGGAATATTGTAACCACTCTTAGACTAAGACAGCAGCAACAATTTAATTAAAGATAGAAGTGATCACGAATTGCAAAATTGTACCTGTTAAACTGTAACTGAATATATCTGAACTCAACGTCCCTATTGTTGGATCCCAAAATTGCCTATACCTAAGCCAATACCACCCAAGAAAACTGTAGATTGGCGCTATTTTAACCAACGAGTTACTTTTGCAATGTTACAAAAACACATGACTTGTTTGAACACATTAATAGGATATCTACCAAGAAAGAATCTTTGAAAATGAGGGGCTGTAAACCATGAAATTTATCAGTTTCATGGTAAATATGCTTCTAAATAGTGGTCCTAATTTATGGTTTGTTATCTATGATCAGAGTTTTCTGGGGTTAAAACCTTTCTTCATGTTTCCCACTTCGTTCCATCAGTTGAGGACCAACCACTTTAACTCTCATTCAGAGCAGCACTTATCCCTTCTCTTTCCCCAGCAAGGATGCCAACTTGGAAATTAGGGCTTAGTATATTTTGGACAATTTACTGCCAAGATCTATTCAAATAAATGGAGACTTGCTTCTTGTTGGGAAAACTATGTTACAATACTTACAGAAGGAAATAGTTTCCTAACACAAAGAATCAAAATATTCTTATGGCTAGGTATCATTGACTAGATAAAGTTACATCCCATTTTCATTGTGTGTATCAAATAAAATTATATTCAATGTCACTTTTAATTCTCCTGTTTTCGACACACTCTTTATGAAATTCTCTTGACAGAGCATGAAATGTTCTCATTTAACCTTCTGTTTCAAATACACATATAACACTGCCAGGATGCAAAAATCACAGAAAGCTAAATTAGAAAGTTAAAATTAGAGATATTCAATCTTAAGAAAAATTCCATAAGTAGCATTTTTCTTAACCCCCTAAACTAAATTATAATCCCAATGAGAAGCTGCAACTCCCTTGAAAATCTAGTCATAAGTATGCGCTTGGGCTTCTGTTGCTTGTAGACATGGGTTTTGTAAGATGGATTGCAGAATCACAAACCTATCAGAATTGCACTGTAATTTGTCATGTTTCACTGACCTTCCCAGACATTTTCCAATCACACACTGTCTAAAATACTTGATCGATTATTTAAAAATTTCAAAAAGCCCAGAGTAGGTGATTTCTTGCAATCATAATTGTTGAATGTGTCCCCCATTATTCTGAGGATGGATTCCAATTCCTGTAAATACATTAGATGCCCTTCTCTTGAAAGGGGTACAGATCATAACCAATTAGGCCTTTAGGAAAGGAAAAAAAATTGTCAATTCCATAGTAGGATATTAAACATGTTTTACAATATAATGTTAAATTTTAAATTAATGTCAGGACTAAGCTTTCAAACTAACATTTTTGCATTAAGAATATGTAGATTTTAAGTAATTTTTATTTGTTTTTCATGGGAAAATAATTGAGAATGCTGAAGGCAATATAAGTTAATCTTTGATTTAATTGACAAAAAGTATCTGTGGTCCAAACTATGTATTCTTGATATATGTTAAAGACTTCACAGTGTTTAACACACTGCTACTGCTAAAATTGAGTGAATGTAATTTCATGTCATATACCCATTCAGTATTAAAATGTATCTAATTATACCTTAAGTCATACTCCTTTCAATTATACTCAAATTATTTTCAGGTACCCAATAAACTGAGTGAAGTTCCTCCTTCTATAAAAAAAAAGTAAGTGTTCTTCTCCAAGTTTATAAATATATGTAATATGATTTTATTCTATCAGATAAAAAATAATTTAAAACATTGAGTTCTCTTAGATTACTATGTTTTTAAAAAAAGAAGACATTTTTATCAACTTTACCAAAATTAAATTATTACCTTTATGGTAAGTCTTTCTTCAACATATAAACTCAAGTCACACTTCATCTTCTGCCTTCAGGCACATTTTGTAGCTAGCTCATCCTTAGATATAATTAAAATTGATACTTAGCAAAGGCCATGCCAATGTATAGGAAGTAAGGCCTTTTAGGGACCCTTTAGCAAGCTGGTGGGGATGCTGAGGGCCAGAAATTAAAACTGGAGGAATAAGTTCTACAGAGTCCAAATGGTAAAAAGTTTAAATAATCGTATGTAAAGCTGATTGTCAGTCTCAGCCTGGATGCACAGTTGTGAAAATATCTAAAGGAGTCAGATGTAGTAGTTAACATAATGCCATAGGCTGTGATAATCTTTAATATCTAGAATGTTTGAGTAATCATGTTTGTAGTAGGGCTGATTAGTCTCTATTTGCCTGCTCCAAATCCATTCTCACCTATTCCTGGTATGGTCCACTGCACAACAGAAAGAACCAACAAAAGATTCAACTATGGAAGGAGGAGAAAGAGTTTGTAGTTTCCTTGTTACACTCCACTTCTTCCCTGCACCTGAATTATTTTGGCTGATAAGAAGAAACCAGTAGAGGTTGAGTGGTTAAAAACTCACAACAAAGCAGGAAACTAATTAATAAGAGTGGGATCCACGGATACAGCCCATTGGGGTTCCCATTCTCATGGCTTTTACCTCCCTACAAACTCAATTAAAACAATTTCTTCTGTTGCCCCTTTAATTCATGTAATAATGCTTCCTAATATTCCCATACCCTGGATACTTCACTAAAACTGGTTGTTTCTTAAACGTGTCCATACTTTTAATAAACTAGTCTCAGTTAATGTCAGAATGTGCCTCTGTTCCCTGCCAAAACTCTGATGGACACTGAGCTATCTTCCTGGTTTGAAGAAGAGCCTAGATACCCTCAGGAGTGAATGAGCAGGGACAGGCTTCTGAAATAGAGGAGTGGGGAATGAAGTAGATATGCTTTCTGCCAAAACAGTCACTTAACTAGAGAAAATTATCAAAAAAAAAAAAAAACCATTTAAATTTCTGGACATTGTTCTAAAGATATACAGCTTCTTGAGAATCATCCCTTCAAGAAAATTGACTAAATCTTGGTAAGAACTGAGAGTCTAAGGCATTTGAGCAGTAAATCAGCTCCATTGGTAATGCAGCAGGCTGATACTGTGCCTGATTACCCTGCCTCAGATTGTTTGTAGGGAAAATGTTTCCCCATTAGAAGGGGCAAAACAAGAAGTTTAGAAGCTGCTACCACCTCCAGCACCCACTTGTGGAGCAGGAGTGTCACTCTAAAAAAAGTGGGCCATTTTCTCTGCTCCCAGATTCTATGTAATGATGCAGAAGTTCTGTCAGAATAAGCAAGCCATAAGGACTAACAGTTCTTCAGCATGTTGAGGGGACTCATGTTATTTAGAAGAGAGGGTGAAGAATTCAACACCTAAAAGTATTGTTGAAAACGATGGAGATTTTGTAGAAAATAATGAAGAGGGCACTCATAATACTATGATACTTATAGAAATAAGGAAAATGGCAGAGCAATAAAAACTTTGAGGAAAAAAAAAAAGGTAAACAGCCAAAAAGAACTCTCCTGAAATCATAATCAATTCTGGGGATTGGGAAGGCTTTGCACAAGCACTAATTTGCACCTAATCTGGAATATTCTGAATAGACTCAATGACATTCTCCAAGCCACATGCAGATGTATCAGTAAAAGTCAGAAACCTAATTGATACGAAGAAGGGGTTTGAGTACAACCCCTAACCAAACATTGGCTGAATGAGAAGCTACCCTGAACCAGGAACAACTCCCAGGACAGAAGCCTTAAAAACAAAATTGCAGTCATCTCTGGCAGTCTGGAAGATTGTGTGGGTGTCCAGGGCTGTGCCTTTTTAGGAGAGATCAGAGAGGAAAAATTTAAGCTACTAGTACCTGGCAGAATGTGGGGAAAAAATGTAAACTTACTGAATTGTGAAAACCACTTTTAAGCCACTTACACATCCAAAGGTAAAGGGTAAACACCTAACTGTCTAAGAGAGCTTAAGCACAACATTTAACAAATAAGTCTGCATCATTCTGATGCAGAGAAGACCCCAGTGTATCCAGGCTAACTGATAGAAACAATAACAAAAATGTTCTAAGCAGGAATATCAGAGGCTGTACACAAAGGAAATCAGCCTCACAGTTAGTTTATTCAAATCACTTACGAAATAAAAACATGACCAAGCAAACAACAATATTACCTCAGAGGCTTGGGCAAATTAATATTCAGAGTTGCTATGCTGTATTATCTAAAATGACCAGTTTTAAATAATAAGAATTGTAAGGAAACAGGACAGTATGACACATATGCAGGGGAAAAAAGTTGATAATAGAAATTTTGTTTGATGTAACCGAGGTGTCAAATATAGTAGCTAAAGACTTAAAAACATTGTGGCTATATTCAAGGAACTAACTAAACAGAAGTAAATAATTAAAGTGAAGTTTGAGGATAGTGTCTCATCAAATAGAAGAAAAAAATCAAATAAAGAAAGTATAAAAACAATAAAATGAAAATTATGGGCCAGGCACGGGGGCTCATGCCTATAATCTCAGCAATTTGGGAGGCTAAGCCAGGCAGATCACCTGAGGTCAGGAGTTCAAGACCAGCCTGGCCAACATAGTGAAACCCTGTCTCTACAAAAATACAAAAATTAGCCGGACTTTATGGCGGGTGCCTGTAATCCCAGCCACTGAGGAGGCTAAGGTGGGAGAATTGCTTGAACTTGGGAGGTGGAGGTTGCCGTGAGCCAAGATCACGCCACTGCATCCCAGCCTGGGCGACAGAAAATGAGACTCCATCTCAAAAAATTATGGAGTTGACAAATAAAAAAAAAAATTAACTAGATTAACTGAAAGTACAATTGAACTGGCAGAAGGAAGAATCTGTAAAGTAGAAGATAGTTCAATAGAGATTATGCAATCTGTAGAACAGAGAAAAAGGGAAATTAAGTAAACAGAGACTCATGGAAATGCATGAAACATTTAAGTGCACCAACATATGCAAAATGGGATTACTAGAAAAAAGGAGAAAGGAGCCAAAAAAATTAAAAAATTAGTTCCTGAAATCTCCCTCAATTTGATAAAAAGCATTAATCTACACATATAAGAGGCTCAATAAGGTCCAAGTAGGATAAACATAAAAGATCCACACCCAGGCACATTAAAATGAAAATGCTGTTAGCCAAAAACAAAAAAATTTTGAAAACAGCAGGAGAAAAAAATGACTCATCACATACATGGGTACTTCAACAAGATTAATATCTGACTTTATATTAGAAGCAATGGAGACTAGAATGCAGTGGGATGACTTTTTCAAAGTGTAGGAAGTAAAAATGATCCACAAAAAAAGTCATATATATAGCAAAACTATCTCTTAAAAATAAAGGAAAAGGAAAGAATTTCCTAGAAAAGCAAAATCTGAATCAGTTGATACCAAAATCAGAAAGATGTCACAAGAAAGAAAAACTATAAACAAATACTTCTTAGGAATTTAGATGAAAAAAATCCTCAACCAAATATTAGAAAACTAAATTTAGGAACATCTTAAAAGATTAAATGCCATAACCAAGTGGGATTTGTCCCAGGAATGCAGAGTTGGTTTTGCATCTGAAACATCAATTGGTGTAATATGCCATATTAAAGAATAAAGGAAAAAATTCACATGATCATCTTAATGGATGCAGAAAAACGATTTGCCAAAATCAATTACCCCTTTCTTGATAAAATCACACACAATCTGACCAACGACATTTATGAAAAATCAGTAGTTAACATCATTCTTAATGGCAAGGTTGTCTGCTCTCACCATACCACTCAACATTTTACTGGAGGTTCTAGCCAGGGCTATTTGGTCTTGTTCCCCACCCCCCAAAAAAATTCCAGATTGTAAAGAAAGAACTAAAACAATTTGTATATGCAGGTGATATGATCTTGTATATAGAAAATTCTAAGGTATTCATAAAAAAACTGTTAGTCTTGATAAATGAGTCAAGTCAATTTGGCAGGATAAAAGACCAATATACAAAATCAATTGTACTTATATGCATAGAAATCAACATTATGAAAATAAATTCTAAAAATTTCTGTAACAATATTATGAAAAAGAATTACTTATCAAGAAATTTAACAAAATAAATGTAAAATGTTCACACTGAAAATTATAAGCATCATTGTTGAAATAAAGAAGATTTAAAAACAGAAAGATATTTCAAGCTCATGGATCAAAAAATCATGAAGATGGCAATATTCCCCAAATTAATTTACAAATTTACTATAATTTCTATGAACATGTTAGCTCCATTATTTCTTCAGAAATTGACAAGCAGTTTCTAAAACATATGTGGAAATTCAAGGGCTCCAGAATATACAAAACAACTTTGATTACACAAAGACAAACAACAAAGTTGGAGTACTAACACTTCCTGACTTTAAAATTTAATACAAAGCTATAGTAATCAATAGAGTGTGGGACTAGCATACAGATAGACCTATAGATCAATGGAATTAAATTGAGAGCCCAGATATTTGTGGCCCATTGATTTTTGAAAAGGGTGTCAAGACAATTTAATGGGGTCAGGCAGGGAACAAAGTACAAATGGTACTTAGAAACTAGATATCCACTGGCAATAAATGAAGTGGAATCCATACCTCACATCATACACAAAGTAACTCAAAATGAATCATAGACCTAAATATAAGTGCTAGAAATTTTAAAAGTCTTAGAATAAAACCTGAGAGTAAATATTACTGACCAACAGTAGGCAATGGTATCTTAGATATGATATTAAAAGCACAAGTGACAAAAATCATTACATTGGATTTCATAAAAATTAAAATATTTTTGTGCAGTAAATGATAAATCAGGAAAATAAAGAAATAACCCCTAAAATGGGAGAAAACATTGCAACTCATATATCTGATAAAAGATTATATCTAGAATACATTACAAAAACACTGTTACATCTCAGTAATAAAAATACAAATAATCCCATTAAAATGGACAAAGAATTTGAATAGACAATTCTCCAACAATATATACAAATAGTAATCACATAAAAGGATGCTCAACATCTTTAGCCAGTTGAGTAATTCAAATCAAAACTATGATGAAATATCACTTCATACCCATTCAGATGACTAAAATAAAAAGATAGGCAATAAAATATCTTGGTGAGGTTGCAAAGGAACTGCAAATCTCATTCATTGTTAATGGTAATGTAAAACTGGGCAGCCACTTTTCAGAAACGTTTGATAGTTCCTCAAATTTTAAAATCAACTTTATCATATCATCCAGTAGTTCTACTCCTAGGTCTTTATCCAAGAGAAATAAAAACATATGTCCATACAAAGATGTGTACATGAATATTTATAGCAGCATCATCCATAAACAAAATGTGGAAATAGTCCAAATGACCATCATTTCATGAGTGGATAAATGATCATATACAAAGAAATATTATTTGGCAAGAAAAAGGAATAATGTTCTAATACATGCTAAAACATGGATAAAGCTTGAAAATAGTATTTTAAGTTAACCACATTGATGACAGAAAATATTTTTAAGAAGTTAGGTTGGAAAGGGTTAAGTGGCATAAAAGGGTAGCAGGTGGAGAGGAGTCTTTTCTGCCCAATACAGAGGCAATAAGACTGGATTATCTATAGAGAATTTTAAAACAATAATACAGTTGACTAAAGTCTGTCTGTTTTTATTATAACTGTGCATAGGCAATTCGATGACAAAATATTATTCTCAGTCAGAGAAGACCACTCATCTCTACCATTTTCTCCCAACACCACTGAGTAAAATAAAAAGGAGGGCAAGAAGTTAAAGGAAGATTTGTGATTTGTTTTGTTTGTTGTTATAAGAAGGGAAATACTTGTGTATGTTTAGATACTGATATGACCAAGACAGCCATAACATTTCCTTCAGCTTGGCTAAGCTTTAAACAAACTTTTATTTATTTATTTGTTTATTTATTCCTTGCTTGCTTGCCTTTACACCCCTGACCTTGCTTGCTCTCATCCTGGCAGTTAGAGAATCTAAATATCCTAACCACAGAAGTCTCTCCCTTCCCTTTTCTTACAGCATTTACTTTAGAAACATTGTATTTGCAAATTCTTTCTCTGCCACTTTGAGATGTGAATATTTTTAAAATCCTCTTGTTAGCTTTATGACCGCAGACTGTCTTTCTCAAGGACATGGGAACAATTCCTTTGAAATGTGATCATTAAGGAAAATAGAGTCTCTATCTCCCAGTCTCCCTGGGACGGTAGAAACCTAACTTTGATGGGCCTTGCTTCAAGTTGTAAAATTACCTCCATTTTGAAGACATCAGAAAATTGACTTCTTTTTGAAGGCCAGTTAGCAAACACAGATGGCCTATGATCCCCCAACTCAAACTACTAGGAACTCTCATGCCTTCACTTCAGTGGAGTTAATACTGTGTTCTAGTCCCTCTTGTCCATTGTTAAAGGCTGCAATAAAGTTTTCCTTACTTATTTAACTTCACTGGTACAAATTTTACTTTGACAGGAAGGAATGAGTAACAGTTGTAGATACAGGAGAGTGAAATGATAATCAATAGAACAGAGTTTCTAAAAAAGACAGGATAAAAACATATGTAGAGAGATTTACATTAGCCTAGAGGACAGCCATCCCGTGGTTTGTAATCTACTGGATATTCTTACAAATGACACCAGACTGGAGTATTTTGGCTTTATGTTTGGGAGTAGGTAAAAACACTCTTATTTTTTGACAGGAAAGTGACTACTTTGACACCTTTATGTTAGATATCTAACTTAACCACAGCACAGATGGGCATTAGTTAATTTCACCGTCACAATTTTTAGTGTTATTCTAATTACCTTCAAAGTTTGTTTAAAGAAGACAGTATTTTAGGGGAAACACCAATTTTTTTCTATTCTTAGCATTCATTTAATAATTATGTATATTTCACAACACATTTTAAATAGTGTGTATTTTATTGCAGAGAATCCCTAGTTTTAGTTGAAACATCATAAACTGAATTACTAACACCACTGCATCTCAGACCAGCAAAGAAAATCATTAATTGAATTCAGATTTAATGTTAGGTTCTTTACACTTTAATAAAAAAGACTTACTTATTTACGCATTTTCCCTCAATAAAAGGAGGAATTTTCTAAGAATTAAATTTTCAAGCGTGGAATTATTTGCTTTTCAGTGGAATAAAATATCTACTGGATATTCTTGGAAACTATGAATTTAAGCGAAATGACTTACAGTAGGTGCCCAAATAATGCCATTTCCTTCAATATCATTTCATTATAACATAGATGAGAAAAAAATGGTTTGTTATATGTTGTTTCACTTAAAGATGCAGTTTCCAAGAACCCATGGGTGATGTTAAGTGAGGACTTACTTTAATTGAGAGACCATTACATTGGTTCTGTACTTTCTAAGTGTGTGAATTGAACATATTACCTAAATGTACTGGGCTTCAGTTTGTTCATAATTAATTTACTGGAATGTTGTAAAGTTCAAATAAACTAACATATAACTTGTTTTAAAAATTACAAATGAATATATGCACCATTAATGTTTTATCAAGTCATCATTATACATTTCTTATTTGCAAATGGACTATTTTATATAATGTTATGCAATACCCAATCATGATATCTAGCTTTCAAAAGATGCACTATTCTTATTTCTAACTATAATTGACGTCAGATGCTTAGTATGGAGAAGTGCTATCAAGCACTCATCCCCAACTTCTTTTTCTAGTGTTTTCTGAAAGTCAGGCTTTCAAAGTTGCTGGGATCTCTCATTAGCTGGCATTTCAACAATCCTAAGTATGCCCTTCAGGGTTGATTCATGTTGATCCAGGTACAAGAGGTGGTCATGTTTCAGGAGCAAGTTTCACATTTCTAATAGTGAAAATGCTCACAAAAGGCAATAAGAGCTTATAAAAACAATGACAGGTTCATGCACTCCAATAATTATACTCGGTTTTTACTTTGAAAGAAACCACAATGTCTAAGTAATTGAATTTGCCAGCAATGTCTTTGAATCTGGAGTAGACAATTCTGGTAGGAGAACGTAAATGATGATTTAACTCTACTAGTGTTAAAAGCACCGCATTCTTAAATTACTTCTACTGAAACTGTATATCCTCTCCACAAAACATGCTAGGACATTCACTTGAAAACAAAAACTGAGAGATTTTAGACTAACGAAAAACCAGGTGTTTAGTTTTATACAGAAAAAAGTGTTTAAAGAGATAATCTAGTACAATAAAGGGTGGGGAAAATAACTTGCTGAAGGAGAGCGTCCAAAGAGCTATTTTGTCCTTCAAGAAAGAGGATGGCAAATACATAAATTAATTACACTTTGGCGATCCATGGGCATTAAATAACATATTTTAAATCTGCTTGCAACTACATTTAAAGCCTCCAAATGAGGACCAATTGTCTCAGCTTTTCTCCTTCTCTCCTTAGCTCTAGATTTGTCTGGAATTTGTGTGCTTGGATGGTTCAGGTATTAATTAGAACTATAAAATGAAGTTTGACTATTATCTGTGTTAAGGTAAATTCAGCCATGTATCTCTAATGTTACCATTTATTGGTTATGTATAGCTAAGACCTTTTATAGATACTGTATTCTTTCTGGCATATTAGTCACCAGGTGTGACCATGCACGTGCTTCAGTAATCACATTTTCCTCAGATTCCTCTCATATATTTCAGAGGTGTTGTTAGGAGAGGTGTAATATCAGGTGATAAAAGTTAATGTTAACCTTGGAAGATAAGAAATTCTGAAGTAGTTTTCCAAAGAAAGGAATAAGAATCTGAATATTGATGGACTTTATGAAAAAAAGTTAAATAAATATTAGAGTATTCGATTTGAGTTACCAGATCTTGCATTTGATATCAGTTATCTACGTTTTGAATTTATTTTTCATATAGATGGCATATATACCTAAATATGCTTTAATTTTTGTGAGTAATATATAATTGCATATATAGCTGATATCATCTCATAATTTGTAACAAACGTTCTTTTGTTATTACCAATCATTTATTCTTATTTATTCAAAAAAATCCTCAAAATTAGAGAGTGTTGAAGTTAAGAAACATTAATATTGATATCAAATAAAGATTTTATACTCCAACGATATAACTATTTTAATCCTTTTTCTGCTGTGTTATGAATCTATTCTGCTAGGTAATTGTATGACCTATTGGCAAAAATGTATTCTAGGCTTACTTTCTGCTGTATTTAGATGCAGGGTTTAATCATTTTATGAGTAGACAATCACTTCTAAAACTTTTTATTGAGCTAATTTAAGACATTACTTTTTATTTAAATTGTGTAATTTGATACAAAACAGTTCCTGTTTTCTGTTCACTAGGGAGGAAAACTAGTAAGGAATACAAGATAGAACTCAAACTGAGATATGGAACTTAAAAAGAAAAAATTCAAACATTCTTAAATGAAGGCACAAATTTCAATCCAATTCACTAAATGGCCTCATGAGCTTTGAAACAGTCATCTCATATTAGTTAAGAGAGTGAAGGAGTACTATGGGAAGACTCTTGAATATGCAAATTAACCAGTATTAATTAGCTCCAGCAGCCATATATTTTAAGTTTAAGTGTTAGAAGTTAGCTAAGGCAGTAAGATCAAATTAGGTCTCAGTAATTTACATTTTTATAGTTCTTCCTAAAGCAATCTGGGATTGACTGTTATTGCCAAGAGAGGGCATCAACTACTAGGTAAAATGCACTGTACTCTAGGCAATTCGTTTAAGTATGATTCCATGTCGATTCTCAAGATTTCTGCTTAAACTGGTAATATTTTAATAAGACATACTCTTCTATGTTGTTAAACTATGGTAAATAGGATCTCTGAAATCGAGTGACATTTAAGAGATGACAATAGTAATTCCTGTTCTTTGGAATTTGTTCACTTTCTCTGTTTTCATTTTCATCCTTGCTGTCCTCATAAGGCACAAACCACAATCTCCTTACAAGCATTTTGTTCAGCCTCAACATTAAAGCAAACAGTCAGGACTGAAACAGGCTAACATGTTTCCTTTTATTTATTTTTTAGCCATGTTGCTCAAAAGTTCATAGCAAGTCACACTCAGTCATCTCTGATGTAATTTTATCCTATACGTAGAATGTTTAAAATCACTGAAAATGGTATTTTACTGAGGAAGGTGAGAAATTCTGCCTGGCTCAGTCCAGCTGCATGATTGTAGACTGCTCATTTTCCCCTACAGAATCCTGCCCATTCTACAGGGGCAATTATCAGCAATTACCTATCTTAAAGAGATAATGTTAAGAGGTTGCACTGCTCTGTTCTAGATAGACAGTTTCCAGGAAGGTAAGTTCCGGGTGGAGATTTCAAAGAGTGGAGGTTCTTAAGCTGTGTATTGAGAAGGTTTATTTCATTTCACATATTTTCAGTATATACTATAAAGTGGACTTCTTACTTCCAAGGCCCCTAAAGTGTAGCATCATTTCCCCCACATTCGGTCTAATTTACTACTGATGGGATAAGGATAAGCAACTAGATTTTGTAGCAGAGGACTGCACAGGATAAATATCCGTTGTCAAAAAGGTAATGGGGTCACCAGAACCACAATTTAAAAGTGATATGGAAGAAGAATTAGCAATGAGCTGTGACTTCAAGGCATTCTTTATTCAGATTGGGGATTATTCTATCCCATGTAATTTATTTTCAACAAGCACATCTGAAGCCATAAGACAGAGACCTTTGCTCCTCCTTCATGGCAAATCAGAGTTTTCAACATTGGATTATTGTTATTTTCCAAGAAGGAAGTGTTTTTAATGGTCCAGATTACCATTTCATCTAGGTCTGTCCTAGCGAGTACTGCTATCCTCCAACCTACAAAGGTAGGAAAGACTCTTGTAAACCTTCTAAGGAGTATCACAAAATTCACAGAGAACAGAGAGAACACAAATGAGGAAATCCATTATGATGGTGAAATGCAAAGAGTGAAAACTTTGCTTCTGTTGTCTGTTTTGGTAATCAGGAGTAGAAGGCATCATTGCCTAAATACAATCAGATTAAAATTAGTCATTTATTGGCTACTCTAAAGCCAGTTGCAGTAGTCTAGTCCCAGTTACTAACTCTAAATTAAAATAAGCTAACGGTTTTTGCTTAATCATAATGAGAACCTTCTTGACATTTCACTGTGAAAGGTAATCCAATAATGTCTCTTAAGAATTATTTTTGTGCAAGTATTATATCTGAACGTTAGCAAGTTATTGAATTATGAAAGAAGCATTGACTATGATTTAGGAGATGTGACTCTGAGTACCAGTCTCATAATTCAGTTATACCATTAAGTCCTAAATATGCATTACTTTTTGGAGCAAATATCTTCATATTGTACTCCAAAAAGCAGAAGCTTTTGGATAGGAACAATCACTCTTTATGTAAGCAAAGAATGTCCTAAGAATTTTAATTATTAACTTGCATTTAACATAGTTTGCCTGTCAATAGACAGAACTGCTTATAAAGCAGGTGGAAATTTTCTAAAATAAAATAAACAGGAAGATAATCCATCTGTCAGAACCCAGTTACTTCATTTATTAAAAAAAAATGAGTCAATTCCTAAATATTTTCCCTTTGCTAATATAAGACTCTAAGACATAGGTGTGTCTTTAAAAAAACAAGGCTTTTTAAAATTTGAATAATAAACACTACCACCACTAGTGTGGGTGCCTATCATATTCCTACAGAAGTGACTAAATTCAAGGATATGAAAGTAAACTCCTGGTCAAAATTTTCCAGAACTCATCATTATTATTAATGTTGGGTAGCAAATAAATATTGAATTTTTATTTTTTTATTCAGCATTAACATCACATGTCATGAGTTCCACTATTGATTTTAAAAATTCATCTAACTGAAGACTCAACTGAAACTAAAGACAATTCTTAAAAATAGATAAGAACAAAGTTAACAATGTGGCATAAAAATGGTCTAAAAATAAAAACAAAAAAGTTCAGGAAAGAAAAAATGGATAAAAATAATCATAGGAAAATGGCAATTAATTCCATACAACATTATTGTTTTGATCTTTTGGGATAGTGAACAGTTCTATAATATTTAGTGTTGTAAAGCCTATCACAAACAATACCACATATTCCATAAATTATAAATCAATTATTGTTTGAAGTCAATTTTCAATATCCATCAAAGCCTTTGATCCCATAATTAACCTGTACTCAAAGATACATGACCACCAGATTAATTATATCCAAGTTTGTAATAGTAAAAATTGTGTATAAATCAAATTTCCCTCAATAAGGAATAACATAAATATGGTATCTATACAAGGGAATACTGAGCAATAATTTTAAAGGCATGTATACAGACAAGAAATGTCATAAATATTAGAATACGTATGACACAAATATTAAGAACAAAAGTTTACAACTATAGTAATTTTTAATAACAGGTAAATATATGAATATAAAACAATATAAAAGTATATAAACATATACATGTAATTGAAAATCCATAATTGAAAGTTTATAATAAAAACAAACATGTTAACAATGTTTATATATGAAAAAGAAAGTAAAGTAGATGCACGGCTATAGTGAAGGCTGACCTGGTTTTATATTTTCTATACAGTTTGGCATTTTCAACAAATATGTACTTAGTTATAATTTGTGTAATCCAAAACACATTAAAAGTTAAAAAATGAACACCATTTTTTAGGTTATAAATTATTTTTTGCATTGTTCATATGTACTCTTGTTTAACCTAGTAACATTAATGCTATGCAATATTACTACTGTAGATTTCACGCCATTATCTTAAATTTACAAATTACTTATAGTTTTAAATATACTTTATATCTTGATAGGAAAATATCTTTTTGAAAACACGGCTACTTAAATTAGAAGACAGTATTATTTTTAACACTTTAAATGTCTTGATTTTATTTCATATGCTCTCAGAGAAAATAAATACACTAACTTCAAGAAAATCACTTTTCTGTATCAGAACAACTTAACCTTTCTGTTCAATCACCCTGCAGTTGTGTGTTTATGTGTATATGTAAGAGGGCATGACTCTGTGTGTGCATAAAGAATAAAACTCAAGAAAAGCAAAGGACTCTGTTCTATAATATCCTTGAGCAACGTGACCCAAATTCAGACTCTCAACTCTCTTTAAAATTAGCCAGACTCTCAAGAGCAGGTTTGTCTAAATCTGGACAAATGAAGGCTTTAGGCCATTGACACACTGAAAATGTACTTATTTAATATCACTCAATGGAAGGTTTTTCTGCATTACAAATTAATTAGCAAATGCAGTTAATTTTTCAGAATCTATTTTTAAAACTTAATTAAATCTGTCTTTGTTTTCAGTATTGCTGTGTCTTTGGAAATAAAGTCATGGAAAGATTAGTCTCTTGCGAAGATTATTATGAATATGAATAATTAGCTCCTCCATCATGCATTATACACATGTTAAACTTTTCCATAATTGAATTTTTAACCATTACTGTAAATACTCTAATTTAATTTGCTATAAAGTGTCTTACTAAATAGCCCAAAGGTGTTGACTTTTATAGAAGTGAATCAGATGATTAAACTATGTTTTAGTTTAAAAGAAGAAACAAAAACATCATGATTTTTTTCTTTTTTTGCTTTTTGATGCTTTTTATTTGTATGTCAATTCAAACTTTTGGAAAAATTGTAAGATTACAATAAGAAAACTCTAAATAATACTCTCTTTTCCTCTCATATTTTGGGATTAAAATTGCACATACTTTTGATGGCTTGATGTTGCATCATAGGTCACTGAGGCTCTGTTCACTTTTTAAAAACTTTTTTTTTCTCTGTTTTTCAAGTAGGTTAATTTCTATTGCCCTATCTCAAAGATCACTTACCAGTTTGTGTTGCCATTGCCAATCTGCTTTTAAGGCGATGGAGTTGTCTTTTCATTTATCATACTTTACTCTTTAGTTTTACTTTTTTAAAAAATGGTTTACATTTCTCTGCTGAGATATCCCAATCTTTTCATTCTTTATAATAATATTTACCTTTAAGTTCAAACCTTTTTATAATATTTGCTTTGAAGTCTCATTTCCTAATTTCAACACTTGGGTAATGTCAGGTTTGATTATCATTGACCGCTTATTCTCTTATCTAAGGATCACATTTCCCTTCTATTTATGTATTTAATGTGTTTGTGTTTTACTTTCTTGTGAGGTGGGTATACTAGGCACTGTGAATAAGGCGCTATTGACTCTGAGGTCTGTTAGCTTCTTTTAAAGAATGATGAGTTTTTTGGTTTTTGTTTGTTTGTTGTTTGTTTTTGAGATGGAGTCTCAGTCTGTTGCCCAGGCTGGAGTGCAGTGGCACATCTCGGCTCACTTCAACCTCCGTCTCCTGGGTTCAAGCAATTCTCCTGCCTCTGCCTCCTGAGTAGCTGGGATTACAGGCGCACACCACCACTCCCAGCTAATTTTTGTATTTTTAGTAGAGACGGGGTTTCACCATGTTGGCCAGGATGGTCTTGAACTCCTGACCTCGTGATTCACCCACCTCGGTCTCCCAAAGTGCTGGGATTACAGGCGTCAGCCACTGAGCCCAGGTGAATGATGAGTTTTGTAGTATCAAATAGTTAACTTGGCTAGACTTTAAACTCTGCCTCTACTGCAGTGAGAAAGCAGTTAAAATCTCTGTTCAGTTCTTTCAACCTTCTATCCACTGCTATCTGCAAGACACTTTGATAATCCTTTGTATGTGCACAGTTCATGAGAGAACCAAGGATGTAGGCAAAGTTTATGTGCAGATTTGGGGGCTATTCTCTCTGTTGTTGCCTTTCCTTAATTTCCCCGTGAAGTTGTAATTCTACTGGAAGACCTGAACTCTGGTCTAACTTCTCAATACAGCTGGATTTGGACTTTCTGTTTGAGCTCAGGCTACTCCCTACTGTATGGACAGAAAAGCCACAAAAACTCAAATATTACCCAATGATAATCCCTCTTTCAAGGATCGTTTATCCTTCAGTTCTGCCTGCTTTAAGTGTATTCTGGTTCTATCAGTGGTTGTGTTTTTTGTTTGTTTTTGTTTTGTTTTGTTTTGATTTTCAGATTTTTCCAGAGTTTTTAATTGCTATCTATAAGAGGATTAGTTTCATATAAGCTTTTGATAATTGATATACCATTCTCAAGAGTGAAATGAATTGTTATTAATTAATAGAAGTTGCTTTCAATTTATTTTGTGCAGGTATTGCAATTTGAAGCATTGAATACTTACTCTGTAAATATTTTGCAAAGCATTTTATCTCTGCATTTAAATTATAAATAATTAGACTTTAAACCCTTTCACTTCACAAAAGTAATAAAATAGAAGTGCAACATAGGAGTCATTTATTACAGTATTTAGCTTCAGAACATCAACATGAACTGTATGAGGTAAGCATTATTATTTCGATAACGAGTAATGGAGGGTCAAGAGTTTGGTACTTTGCCCAAGGTCAAAAACATGCTGGATTCTACCCTAAAATGATTAATTCAGGAATCCAGAGTAACTTAAACATGCTAAATTTTCTATTAAAAAAACAGATATTTCTTTTAGAAATATGACTATATTCATTTTGATGAAACTATACCACAAAACTGAAATCTGATGGGAATTCCAACAAAAAGTTTTCATTGGCTAATAAAGAAGCAATACAGTTTTTTAAATTTAAAATACTGTGGAAATCATAGAAATATTATTTGGCATTAAAATGAAAGACCAAAAATAAATTATCTCATTGGGCACAACTTTTATTCTTCTAAATTTGTCTAAAGCAGCCTGCAATTTAAGCCATCTCTTTTAATGCTTATCATATTGGTATGAAAATGAAGAAATTAATGATATAACTCATTATCAGCCAGTTCTTAGGCCATTTTTTATGAAAATTTTCAAAATTAATCGTGACATTGAAAAAATTTCTGTTGGACTTTTAGACTGAATTCCTCTGTATTAGCAAATAGGAGGCTGGTTGCAAACAATCTCTAGATTTCCACACTTGCTTATGACAGGAAAATTTTAATCTAGTAATAATCGTAGTCACACACTCAATGATAAGCTTTTAGGAGGTCAGATTATTATCTGTATCATATAAACTATCTGAGCAAATAAAATTCTTCATAAATTGGTTACATTTAATTTAGAGTGTCCACTTCCAAACTCTTTTACTATATTAGAGACCAGGGCTCAATAGAATAATCATTTACTAACTTTATCATTGGTTTTCTCTCCTGCATTCTCTCTCTCTCTCTTTTCTATACACACACACACACGCACACACACACACACACACATCACAGTATCATACACAATATGTGAATTTAATTCTAGTATTATAAAGGAAATCAGAAGAGTGAGTGGATTAATTTTACCTGTAAATACTGCTAAGGTAACATTTAAATGAACTTTTACAAAGGAGGGGCTTTTTGATAGTCAGGGAAAGTATATATATTCTACAAAAAAAATATGAAAAATGACATGAATTTATCAATGAACTATAAAAATTTGGAGCCACAAATCTTTGCCTAAATACAGAGTGTATGAAGCTGTCAAGGCAGGAACTAGTGCTGGGATACGACCTGGGATAGCATTGTAAACAGCTTTGAAAGCTACATTAAAGTGGGCAGAAATTTTTTCCGGAGACTATGGGAAACCATCTCAGTATAGTTTTATTATTTTTTTCCAAAATGAAAAAAAGGATCATAGCTGGTTTTTCCAATTGCATAGATGATATTTACTTTTGGTTAATAAGTAAAATAATACCATAAAATATAAATGAGAAATAAATGTTGTGTATACTCTCACTAGACAGAGGTAACAAATGCCAATAATTTGGTGAGTGCCTTCTATGTATGTTCCCACTTACAGAGTTTCTATATACCATAAAACAGTTTTTACAAACCTGTTTAAAACTTGTTAAATATGTAATAGATTTTACAGGCACGTTGTAAAAACAATTGAAGAAAAAAATAAGTCCCGAGGTATTATTCTGCCATTTTTCTTACTTCACCATCCAAAAATTACAAATATGATTCATACTCTCAGAAAAAGCTATGCATATACAAAGATATTTATATAATTATGCTCCCCTTTTAAAATATATTATTGTAGCATATTATAAACATTGCAACATGTAACATTACACTACACTGTTTTTTCATTTAATAATTTACCCTGAAAAGTATTAGATATTAAAACACATGTTCCAAAGTACATAGAGAAAGTGAGAAGTAATATAAGCATATGAATTATTCATTTCTGCTTCTATTACTAATTTTCCCATTGATTTGTTGTTTCATTACATTATAAACAAAACATAATATTCTCACTATTTTTACTGTTGAATTAGCTGAGCACTTTTTGTCAAATACTGTGACAAAACTATGGGTGTTGGGAAAGTGTAAATTTTTTTATGGGTGTTGGGAAAGTGTAAATTTTTTGCTCAATTGAGCTGTATCGATTAGATCAAAATAAGCAAGAAGGTAATTTAGGTCTTACTTATTTTTTTCCCCAATCCTAGGCTTAGAGTAGCCCATACTGATAAAATTTTCTTTATAATTGTAATTTTTTGTATGTAGATCATGACTATAAAATTTTCAATGTGGATCCAGTATTTACTTTACATAAAGTCCTTATTTTGTGTTTAACCAAAATTATGTATTACGTTGTATGAATAACTGACCCCTAGAAAAACTTTTAATATTCAGCTTCCTTCCATGTCTTTGTCTACCCTTTTACTTTCAACCTTTCTGACTTCGTGTTTCCAGTCTGTAACGAAGAGTAGGATTTTGCTTGATTATCCCATGTGAGCATGTGTTTTTCTTTCAGTACATAAACAGGCCAGGCACAGTGACTCATGCCTGTGATTCCAGCACTTTGGGAGGCCGAGGCGGGAGGATAACTTGAACCCAGCAGTTCAAGACCAGCCTGGGCAACATAGCAAAACCTTTTCTCTACAAAAATTTTTTTCACAAAAATAGTTGGATGTGGTGACATGCACCTATAGTCCCAGGAACCCAGGAGGCTAATGCCAGAGGATTGCTTAAGCCCAGGATGTTGAGCTTATAGTGAGCCATGATCACGCCACTGCACTCCTGGGTGAGAGAGCAAGACCCTGTCTTAAAAAAAATAGACAAGCAAATCTCATTTATGGAGATGAAGTGAATGCTTGGTCTTAGTTTTTCCATCTTAATTTATGTTATTCTTTTCTAGCATTCATGTTTTATTTATTTCTCAATAAGGTCTGTGCTTCCTTTATTGTTTTTGTTTACTTGTGATAATTTTAAAACTTTATACTCTTTTAAAGTCATTATGGTGGTTTATAACTATGATTTATTTAGTGAAATGAATTTATTTCTCTACCATTGCTTATTCATTTCCCTCTGCAAGGTTTACTGAGTTTATTATACATCGATTTTCTTCCACTTTTGTAACCTCCATTATTCCACATTATGTTGTTGATTGCATAATTCTTGTTTCTCTTCGAGGGTACCTTCTTACATTTATACACAGACATACCATTTGCTTGCTTTTCAAGATGTAAACAACACACATCTTTTCCCCAACACCCACATTTACTTACGTGAAAACTACATCTTATCTGTAGATTTTCTTCCACTCTGCCACACAGTTGCAAAGATGGAAAATTTCATGTCACTTCTGCTTCCTTTACAATGTTTTCTATGAAATAAATGAGGAAAATTATAGCAGCAGTTGTCATCATTGAAATAAATCTGCTTTTCCAAGTAAGGGATCTTTGATTTTGCCCTTCAGGATGGCCCTATGTCTTTGAGAAGCCACTATCCCAAGATTTCTGCCTGAAATCACCAGCAGCAGGCATTCATCTCATCCTTGCTTTATCTTATATTACGAAGTGAAGTATATCTATATCTGGATATGTTTTTTTTCTTGCCATCAAGATAGATTTCTATTTATCATTCCTGTCATTCATTAGAGTCAGACAGGAAAAGAAGAAATAGGTATCTTTATTACATCTCAAAGCCGCCAGAAATCCATTTAAGGGTTTAAGGTTGTGGGTTATCACAATCATGATTGTATTTTAGAAAGATAACCACAAATATATAAAACCATTGCCATATGTCAGGAGTGGTGGCTCACGCCTAGAATCCCAGCACTTTGGGAGGCTAAGAAGGCTGGATTACATGAGCTTAGGAGTTTGAGACCAGCATGAGCAAAATGGCAAAACCCTGTGTCTACAAAAAATACAAAAATTAGCCGGATATGATGGTGTGCATCTATGGTCTCAGCTACTGGGCAGGCTGAGGTGGGAGGATCACCTGAGTCTGGGAGATTGAGGCTACAGTGAGTTGAGATCATGCTACTGCACTGCAGCCTGTGTGACAGAGTGAGACCCTGACTCAAAAAGTAAACAAACAAACCAAACCCAAAAAACCCATTGCCTACATACTAATTCGGTTGTGATTTTTACAACATCTACAAATATTTCAGATATCATTGACTTTATCTAAAGACTATTCTGTTATGAGATGCCTGATGAATCACAATATAATTTGTATATTTTATACAGTAAGTGATTTAAGTAATCCAAGCATGGCAGGAATCTAAAAGCCCATAAAATTGATTCCCGGGCAAGATGGCCGAATAGGAACAACTCCGGTCTGCAGCTCTCAGGGAGACCAGCGCAGAAGGCAGGTGATTTCTGCATTTCCAACTGAGGTACCTGGTTCATCTCACTGGAACTGGTTAGACAGTGGGTGCAGCACACAGAGTGCAAGCAGAAGCAGGGTGGGGTGTCGCCTCACCCAGGAAGTGCAAGGGGTCAGGAAACTCCTTCCCCTAGGCAAGGGAAGCCCCGAGGGACTTTGTCATGAGGGATGGTGCTATCCAGCCCAGATACTATGCTTTTCCCATGGTATTCACAACCCACAGACCAGGAGATTCCCTTGGGTGCCTACACCAAGGGCCCTGGGTTTCAAGCACAAAACTGGGCCGTTGTTTGGGCAGACACTGAGCTAACTACAGGAGTTATTTTTTCATATCCCAGTGGCACCTGGAATGCCAGCAAGACAGAACTGTTCACTCCTCTGGAAAGGGGGCTGAAGCCAGGGAGCCAGGTGATCTTGCTTACTGGATCTCACCCCCACAGAGCCCAGCAAGCTAAAATCCACCGGCTTGAAATTCTTGCTGGCAGCACAGCAGTCTGAAGTCAACCTGGGACACTCCAGCTTGGTGGGGGGAGGCGCATCCGCCATTACTGAGGCTTGAGTAGGTGGTTTTCCGCTCACAGTGTAAACAAAGCCACCAGGAAGTTTGGACTGGGTAGAGGCCACCCGCAGCTCCGCAAAGGTGTTGTAGCCAGACTGCCTCTCTAGATTCCTCCTCTATTAGCAGGGCATCTCTGAAAGTAAGGCAGCAGCCCCAGTCAGGAGCTTATAGACAAAACTCCCATCTCTCTGGGACAGAGCACCGGGGGGAAAGGACAGCTGTGGGCACAGCTTCAGCAGACTTAAACGTTCCTGCCTGTCAGCTCTGAAGAGAGCAGTTGATCTCCCAGAATAGCGCTCCGGGTCTGCCAAGAGACACACTGCCTCCTCAAGTGGGCCCCTGACCCCAGTGCCTCCTGAAGGGGAGACACCTCCCAGCAGGGGTTGACCGACACCTCATACAGGAGAGCTCCAGCTGGCATCTGGTGGGTGCCCCTCAGGGATGAAGCTTCCAGAGGAAGGAGCAGGCAGCAATCTTTGTTCTTCTGCAGCCTCCACTGGTGATACACAGCCAAACACAGTCTGGAGTGGACCCCCAGCAAACTCTAGCAGACCTGCGGAAGAGGGGCCTGACTGTTAGAAGGAAAACTAACAAACAGAAAGTAATAGCATGAACATCCACAAAAAGGATGACCACACAAAAACTCCATCTGAAGGTCACAGCAAAGACCAAGGGTAGGTAAATCCATGAAGATAAGGAAAAACCAGGGCATAAAGGCTGAAAATTCCAAAACCAGAATGCTTCTTCTACTCCAAAGGATCACAACTCCTTGCCACCAAGGGAACAAAACTGGACAGAGAATGAGTTTGATGAATTGACAGAAGTAGGCTTCAGAAGGTGAGTAATAACAAACTCCTCTGAGCTAAAGGAGTATTTTCTAACCCAATGAAAGGAAGTTAAGAACCTTGATAAAAGGTTAGAGGAATTGCTAACTAGAATAATCAGTTTAAAGAAGAACATAAATGACCTGATGGAGCTGAAAACCACAGCACAAGAACTTCGTGAAGCATACACAAGTATCAATAGCCGAATTGATCAAGCTGAAGAAAGGACATCAGAGATTGAAGATCAACTTAATGAAATAAAGCATGAAGACAAGATTAGAGAAAAAAGATGAAAAGGAATGAACAAAGCCTCCAAGAAATATGGGACTATGTGAAAAGACCAAATGTATGTTTGATTGGTGTACCTGAAAGTGATGGGGAGAATGGAACCAAGTTAGAAAACACTCTTCAGTTTATTATCCAGGAGAACTTCCCCAACCTAGAAATACAGGCCAAAATTCAAATTCAGGAAATACAGAGAACACTACAAAGATACTCGTTGAGAAGAGCAACCCCAAGACACATAATTGTCAGATTCACCGAGGTTGAAATGAAGGAAAAAATGCTAAAGGCAACCAGAGAGAAATGTGGGGGCTACCCACAAAGGGAAGCCCATGAGACTAACAGCAGATCTCTCTGCAGAAACCCTACAAGCCAGAAGAGAGTGGGGGGTCAATATTCAACATTCTTAAAGAAAAGAATTCTCAACCCAGAATTCCAGCCAAACTAAGCTTCGTAAGTGAATGAGAAATAAAATCCTTTACAGACAAGCAAATGCTGAGGGATTTTGTCACAACCAGGCCTGCCTTACAAAAGCTCCTGAAAGAAGCACTAAATATGGAAAGGAAAAACCGGTACCAGCCACTGCAAAAACAACCCAAAATGTAAAGGCCATTGACACTATGAAGAAACTGTATCAACTAATGGGCAAAATAACCAGTTAGAATCATAATGTCATGATCAAATTCACACATAATGATATTAACCTTAAATGTAAATGGGCTAAGTGTTCCAATTAAAAGAGACAGACTGGCAAATTCGATAAAGAGTCAAGACCCATCAGTGTGCTGCAATCAGGAGGCACATCTCATGTGCAAAGATACACATAGGGTCAAAATAAAGGGATGGAGGAAGATTTAACAAGCAAATAGAAAGCAAAAAAAAAAAAAAAAAAAAAGCAGGGGTAACAATCCTAGTCTCTTATAAAATAGACTTCCAACCAACAAAGATCAAAAAAGACAAAGAATGGCATTACATAATAGTAAAGGGATCCATGCAGCAAGAAGATCTAACTAATGTAAATATATACGCACCCAACACAGGAACACCCGGATTCATAAAGCAACTTCTTAGAGACCTACAAAGAGACTCAGACTCCCACACAACAATAGTAGGAGGCGTTAACACCCCATTGTCAATATTAGATCAACGAGACAAAAAATTAACAAGAATACTCAGGAGTTGAACACAGCTCTGGACCAAGCAGACTTAATAGACGTCTACAGAACTCTCCACCCCAAATCAACATCATATACATTCTTCTCAGCCCCACATAGCACTCGTTCTAAAATCGACCACATAATTTGAACTAGAACACTCATCAGCAAAGGCAAAAGAAGGGAAATCATAACAAACAGTCTCTCAGACCAAAGTGCCAATAAATGAGAACTCAGGATTAAGAAACTCACTCAAAACCTTACAACTCCATGGAAACTGAACAACCTTCTCCTGAATGACTACTGGGTAAATAATGAAATTAAAGGATAAATAAATAAGTTCTTTGAAGCTGAGGAGAACAAAGACACAATATACCAGAATCTCTGGGACACAGCTAATGCAGTGTTTAGAGGGAAATTTATAGCACTAAATGCCCACAGGAGAAAGAAAGACAGAACTAAAATGGACACCATAACATCACAATTAAAAGAACTAGAGAAGCAAGAGCAAACAAATTCAAAAGCTAGCAGAAGACAAGAAATAACTAAGATCAGAGGAGAACTGAAGGAGATAGAAACACGAAAAACTCTTCAAAAAAATCAATGAATCCAGGAGCTGGGTTTTTTTTGAAAAGATTAACAAAATAGACCACTAGCCAGACTAATAAAGAAGAAGAGAGAGAAGAATCCAATAGACACAATTAAAAATGATAAAGGGAGATCACCACTGATCCCACAGAAATCAGAGAATACAATAAACACCTCCACACAAATAAACTAAAAAATCTAGAAGAAATTGATACATTCCTGGACACATATACCCTCCCAAGACTAAACCAGGAAGAAGTCGAATCCCTGAATAGACCAATAACAAGTTCTGAAATTGAGGCAGTAATTAATAGCCTACCAACCAAAAAAGAAGCCCAGGACCAGATGGATTCACAGCCAAATTTTACCAGATGCACAAAAAGGAACTGGTATCATTTCTTCTGAAATTATTCTAAGCAATAGAAAAGGAGGGACTTCTCCTTGACTCATTTTATGAGGCCAGCATCATCCTGATACCAAAACCTGCCAGAGACACAACAAAAAAAGAAAATTTCAGTCCAATATCCCTGATGAACATTGATGCGAAAATCCTCAGTAAAATATTGGCAAACTGAATTCAGCAGCACATTAAAAGCTTATCCACCATGATCAAGTCAGCTTCAACCCTGGGATGCAAGGCTGGTTCAACATAAGCAAATAAATAAACGTAATCCATCACATGAACAGAACCAAAGACAAAAACCACATGATTATCTCAATAGATGTAGAAATGGCCTTCAATAAAGTTCAACACCATTTCATGCTGAAAGCACTCAATAAACTAGCTATTGAAGGAACATATCGCAAAATAATAAGAGCTATTTGTGACAAACCCGCAGCCAATATCATACTGAATGGACAAAGCTGGAAGCATTTTCTTTGAAAACTGGCAGAAGACAAGGATGTCCTCTCTCACCACTCCTATTCAACATAGTATTGGAAGTTCTGGCCAGGGCCATCAGGCAAGAGAAAAAAATAAAGAGTATTCAAATAGAAAGAGAGGAAGTCAAATTATCTCTGTTTGCAGATGACATAATTGTATATTTAGAAAACCTGATCATCTCAGCCCAAAAACTCCTTAAACTGATGAGTCACTTCAGCAAAGTCTCAGGATACAAAATCAATGTGCAAAAATCACAAGCATTCCTATACATCAATAATAGACAAATGGAGAGCCAAATCATGAGAAAAAATCCCATTCACAATTGCTACAAAGAGAATAAAATACCTAGGAATACAACTTACAAGGGATGTGAAGGACCTCTTCAAGGAGAAATACAAACCACTGCTCAAAGAAATAAGAGATGACACAAACAAATGGAAAACATTCCTTGCCCATGGATAGAAAGAATCAATGTCATGAAAATGGCCATACTACCCAAAGTAATTTATACATTCCTACCATTCCCATCAACCACCATTGACTTTCTTCAAAGAATTAGAAAAAAAAATACATTAAATTTCATATGGAACCAAAAAATAGCCCACACAGCCAAGACAATCCTAAGCAAAAAGAACAAAGCTGGAGGCATCACGCTACCTGACTTCAAACTATACTACAAGGCTACAGTAACCAAAACAGCATAGTACTGGTACCAAAACAGATATATAAACCAGTGGAACAGAACAGAGGCCTCAGAAATAACACCACACATCTACAACCATCTGATCTTTCACAAACCTGACAAAAACAAGAAATAGGGTAAGGATTCCCTACTTAATAAATGGTGTTGGGAAAACTGGCTAGCCATATGCAGAAAACTGAAACTCGACCCCTTCCTTATACCTTATACAAAAATTATTTCAAGATGGATTAAAGATTTAAATGTAAGACCTAAAATCATGAAAACCCTAGAAGAAAACCTAGGTAATACCATTCAAGATATAGGCATGGGCAAAGACTTCATGACTAAAACACCAAAAGCAATGGCAACAAAAACCAAAATTGACGAATGAGATATAATTAAACTAAAGAGCTTCTGCACAGCAAAAGAAACTATCATCAGAGTGAACAGACAGCCTACAGAATGGGAGAAAATTTTTGCAATCTATCCATCTGACAAAGGGCTAATCCAGAATCTACAAGGAACTTTTAAACAAATCTACCAAAAAAAAAAAAAAAAACCAACAACTTAATCAAAAAGTGGGAGAAGGAGATGAACTGACACTTCTCAAAAGAAGACATTTATGCAGCCAAAAAACATATGAAAGAAAGCTCATCATCACTGGTCATTAGAAAAATGCAAATCAAAACCACAAAGTGATACCATCTCATGCCAGTTAGAATGGTGATCATTAAAAAGTCAGGAAATAACAGATGCTGGAGAGGATATGGAGAAATAGGAACCAATTTTACACTGTTGGTGGGAGTGTAAATTAGTTCAACCATTGTGGAAGATAGTGTGGCGATTCCTCAAGAACCTAGAACTATAAATACCATTTGACCCAGCAATCCCATTACTGGGTATATACCCAAAGGATTATAAATCATTCTGCTATAAAGACACATGCACACCTATGTTCACTGCAGCGCTATTCACAATAGCAAAGACTTGGAACCAACACAAATGCCCATCAATAATAGACTGGATAAAGAAAATGTGGCACATATATACCATGAAATACTATGCAGCCATAAAAATATAATGAGTTCATGTCCTTTGCAGGGACATGGATGAAGCTGGATACCATCATTCTCAGAAAACTAACACAGGAACAGAAAACCAAACAACGCATGTTCCCCCTCATAAGTGGGAGTTGTACAATGAGAACATATGGGCACAGGGAGGGGAACATCACACACTGGGTCCTGTTGGGGGGTGGGGAGAAACAGGAGGGATAGCATTAGGAGAAATACCTAATGTAGATGACGGGTTGATGGGTGCAGCAAACCACCATGGCACATGTATATCTATGTAACAAACATGCATATTCTGCACATGTATCCCAGAACTTAAAGTATCATAATAAAAAAAGCCCATAAAATCACCACCATTTTTTGGTTAATATATAAATTTCTACTCATAGATCTTAACAGCCTATGCATATAAGCTGGATTTTTTTACATTAAAAAAATTTTAACATTGAGATAATTGTATGTGTTTATGGCATACAATGTGATGTTTCAATATACACATACATTATATAAAGTTCAAATCAGGGTAGTTAGTCTATCCATCACCTCATGCATTTATCTTTTTTTTGAGGTGAGAACATTCAGAAACCTCTCTTCTAGCTATTTTATAATATACAATTCCTTACTGTTAACTAGTCATCCTGCTGTGCTGCAAGAGAATACCCAAATTTATTCCTCTTATCCAACTGTAACTTTCTACCTGTTGGTCAACCTCTCTCCATCATCTCCCACCCCACTGGATCGCTTTTAATCTAAGAACACCACTGTTACTAACAACACTATATCTGAGAATCAGTTTTCTCATACCTTAACATTTAAAAAAATGTTGAGAAGAATTTTTGAGAGGGAATTGAATAAAAGTGAAAAAGATATGGTTTCTGGGGGTGGTATGAGAAATTAAGATGAGGAATGAAGTATGTTCTAGTTTGAAAGAAATGGGCAGCTATAAGAACATGGAGAAATTACTTTGGAAGTAGGAGAATCAGAAATAAAACTTCATTTTAAATTTACTATTTTGATACCAAAATTGTATCTTAAGATGTTTGGATGCTTTAAGGCAAATGGAAGGTATTTTCAAAAAGTGAATTCTAGATGAAAGGAGTGATATGCTCCGAGTCTCAGATGTTAGAAATATGAAGTAATTAATCTGAGTAGACAATTTAAAAATGAGTGGATAGAAAGACACGTGTTAGTAGTTTTATTTTTCAGAAATCTTAAGTAACAGTGATAGAAATTCAATTTCAATGAGATAAGGCTTAATGGAGAATGTATCATCTCTTGGATTCAAAGCACAGGCAAGTGAAAAAGCTGGCCTCAAGGTTAGCAAGAAGAGCCTTGCACAAGTAGCAGGACTTTTTCTATCTTGTATCCTTGCACAAGTAGCCGGATTTTTTCTATCTTGTATTTCAGTTCATCATAATTCTTCAAATATGGCCTAAGACATTCAATTAAGAGCAACTTAAACCAGGGACTCGAATGCAATTAGGATTTTCCTGATCTCTTCTGTTTGTTCCTTTCTGTAGTTTCACTCCATGCTCTAGCTTTAGTTTCTCTATGAAGCAGGGATAATGGTCAGAGACAACAATAATTGCAAACATTTTTGCAACAACAAAAAATAGATATCTCTTCCACCAAATATACTGTGGAAATCCCTAGGGAAGACTGACCTACTGTCCAAACTCTGCACCTCACATAAGCATCGTGTCTAGAGGATGGCCAGAGTGTGAAAGCAGTAGTGATGGCCTGACCATGTGTTCAGGGTAGGAGGGGTTAGTTAGTAAGGAATGAGCTAAAAGGAGTATTGAGCACATGATAGTAACTCCTGTGAAATACATTAGGGAATTGGAAAATGGAGACAACTCTTGTCTATTGTAATTTGTTTGTCCTCTGAATTAGACAGAATAATTTGCCTATTTTTGTAGAGTGCTTGAGAAACTAATAGAGTTGAGAAAGATTTGCAGAAAGGAATGAAAGATATGTCTCATTGGTAACAGTTTCTCTTCTGCAAATCCGAGATGCTAGAAAGAATTCAAATTTGTTTATTTTGTCTTACAAATTCTGTGTTGCAATACTTTGATCTTCTCTTCAAACTTCTTTTCAAAGTTAAATAAACATGTGAAATACAATCTAAGATAAAGCAATAAAAATTCAAGATAGTTCAGTTGTTTTATCAATTTACGATTGTGTGGACTCAGTGGACAGTCTCATCCCATCAGCAAATTATCTCCCTGTTACAAACATTCCTAATAATCTGAAACCTCCCATCCAAGCACATTTTTGATACCATTTTGGTTTCACAATCTGTCACTTGAAGTAGCTTCATAAGACTATCGTAACAAAATGAATCTTGCTTTCTTCAGAGATATGAGTTGTTAGTAATAGAAACAACTGAAAAATATCTAATGTTCCCATTTTCTTCAGGGAAATAAAGATACTCAATCTTATTTATGACCAAAAACAAAAACAAATATTAGAGTTTTTAAAAAAATAAAATAAATGATAAAAACAATGCAAAGAATGCAATTATTTTTCACATATTCATAAAAAGCAAGGGTAAATATATTTAAAAAGAAATAAACTATTCTTCTGCAGAAAAAACATTACAAATTTTAATATCATAAAACCACCCTAGAATTACATTTATAAAATACTACACCCAGAGAACTACAGAAAAATGACAGGATGGTCAACGCTAAATGTGTTTGTATTTAAGACACTTTCATTTCTCTAATGTTGGCATGGTATAATTTTGCAGTTAAAATTTGTCATCACCCATTTGGTCTTGAATTATCTGATAGAAAGTTATAATTTGAGAGTTATTTATAACAAGATTTGGGAAAACACATAAGATAACTTTTAGAATTTATTGTTGCAAAGACTACAGGCATGTACCGTTCCCCACTTTATACTGAACTTAAATCCAATGAATAAGCAAAAAACCTGAAAATCTCTGACAAATTGACAACACCAATTTCCATGATGATACTTCTCTTGGAAATAACTGCTAGTGCAAACTATTAATACCAGTGACAAGCAAGATGTCAATTGATTTGCGTAAAGCATATCCAAGGTTACCTAAGCAATTTGTTTCAAATTGAAACTAAGAGATATTACTTATAACAGGAGAATAAATTCAGAATCTATAACTAGAGTGAAAGAGACTAACATTTCCTGAATACCTGTATTGTAGTGGACACCTAAGTACTCTGAGAGACGAAGGGGTGGTACTAAAAAATGGTGATGGAATGTTTATTGGAGAAAAAGAAGATGATTAAAAAGTCTTTGTGCGACTAGCATTATACCAGATAGTTTTATGCGTAACGTCATATTTTTACTCACTACCATTCCTTTTTATTTCTTCCAAGTTCTACAGTGTTTGTTTAATGAATATCTAGACTTAATTCCCATTGGTAGGTGTTTTCTATATCCACCCTAGTAATTCATTTTTATTACACAGACTTTCTGTCCCTCAGCACTCATTTTTTTTTCCTGAAACATTCTAATACAATAGAAATAATTTTTGCCTAATATAATAGTTGCCTATTGCTGCCGTAACAAATTACCACAGACTTAATGGCATAAAGCAACACAATTTTATTGTCTAACAGTTATGGAAGTAGGAAGCCTGAAATAGGTTTTACCAAGACAAGACTCTGGTGTCAGCATGGTCACACTCCCTCCATCTGGAGGCCATAGGGGAGAATAAGCCTTTATGCCTTTTTCGCTTTTAGAGCTGGATTCCTTGCATTCGTTGGACTATGGCACCTTCCTTCCTCTTCAAAGCTAGCAGTGCAGTGTATCAGATCTCCTTCTGTTTCTTCCTTCAAATCACCTTCTGTCCCTTTGATTCCATGCTTTCCTCTTATAAGGGTCCCTGTGATTACATCACGTCCGCCTAGATATTCCAAGCTAATATCCCTATCTTAAGATCTTTGTTTTAACTATATCTGCCAAATCTCTGTTACTGTATAAGGTAATATTCATAGGTCCCAGGAATTCAGACCTGGATATCTTGGTGGGCTATTATTCAGCCTATTAAACCTAGGTTATGCTTTTATGCCATGCGTAGTACTATAACAAATAAAGTCTGAATCATCTCATTTCAAAAAAATGTACTTTGTAATGAGTAGCCATTGAAAGCCTAATGCAGCTTTGCCATTGCCAAGAACATGACACAATTATTTGGTTTCTTCAGAAACCAATTCTTCAGGTAACCAACATGATAGAAACATCAGAAATATTAGTGCTATGCCACTAATATTTTCAGTTACTGGAGATTTTATTGACTGTCTTTAGAGGAGTTGGCACTGTAATTGCTATTGTCTAAATATTGATGCTCCTCCTAAAATTCATATGTTGACATCCTCATGCCCAAGGTGATAATGTTAAGAGAAGGGACCTTTGGGAAATTATTAGGTCATGGTGGTTGAGTTCTTATGAATGATATTAGTGCCTTTAAAAAGAGGCCTAAGAGATCCCTCGCCCCTTCTACCATGTGAGGAATACAGAGAAGGCACTATTCACGAGCCAGGAGACCAGCCTTCAGCAGGCACCAAATCTGCTGGAGCCTTGATTTTGGATTTCCCAGTCTCTAGAAGGGTGAAAAGTAAATTTCCATTATTTATAAGCTACCCAATCTACGGTATTTTGTTACAGCAGCTGAAAGGACTAAGACACCATATACTTTTAAGAAAAATCTAAAAGTTAATTACAGTATTTTAAGCTATTAACCAAATTATAATTTTTTAAAGAAAATTATTGGTTAGAATGAAAGTTAACTGGCTATGCTAGATTTATAATTTTTTACTCTTCTTCCCTCAATGCACAATAGGGTGCAAAGCCTGCAACACTAGAAAAATGTTCCAATTTCTAGAAGGAGTTTCCATTCACTAAAACATAGATGCATAATTTATCAGCAAACAATTAATGACTAGAAGACAATTGCATCAAGTGTTCCAATAATAAGAATTTCAGGTTTTAAATAGTATTACCTAGTAGCTCCTGAGATAGTTTCTTGTGAGTTGCTATGAAAATTGAGAGATGACATGAAAAATGGTGAGCTATAAAAAAATTACAACACCAAAAACCATGACTGATGGCCTATTCTCAGAACCCAGGAAGAATTTTCATCGCTTTTAATAGCAAAGATACTGGATTGAGAAAATTACCGGAGACCACATATGCATTACTTCATGTCAACAAACTATCCTAACTCTCTGAATGAAGATAGCAAGATACATAATGAATTACCTATTTTCTGATCCTTAACCCAAGCCCAGAAAATACTGCATTCATCTCTCTGCTATATATCATAATATTTTTGAAGAACTTAAAGTATGTTAGTAACTCCAACAACTTTCTACACTTTGCCCCATCTTGGAAAATAATTGGCAAATGGGTAGTTGAGTTGTATAGTAAGCAAATCAGTGCTTCCTGAGCATAAAGTCAGTGCTTGAAATGTAATTGCTGAAAGAAAGAATGTATGAGGAATGTATTTATTATCATTACAAGTAAAGCAGCCTTGGTATAGAAAGAGTCTCCAAGCATAATGTAGCTATTAGGACTGCATAAAGTTTAAAATATAAGAAAACCCAACTTTCAGTAGTTTGACTAAATAGGAGTTTTTTTGTTTTGTAAAAGAAAAAATTCAAGCATTAGGCTATAGTGCCACTGATGTCAGAGACCTGGCTTCAGGTAGCTTACAATCTACCCACTCATTTTGTAGTTTTGATTCTAATGCTTGTGGTGGTAACATTCATCAAGAGATAGCTGTTGAGCCTTCATGCATTGCATCCACATTCAATAGGAATGGGCAAAAGGTAGGACTATTTCTATCTGATCTTTTTCTTAGGAAAGCAAAAGTCTTCCTAGAAATCCTTGCAACAGACTTTCTACCAGATATCATTGGCCAGAACTAGGGCTAGGATCACATCAGGTTTTGCAAATACTAAACAACCTACATTTTACTCTCCCATAGAAATTATGGAATTCAACTAACTTTGAGGTAGGGGAGATCTCTCTTAAAAAAAAGTATAATGGTTCAATATATTAAAAAATAACTATAAAAATAGAAAGAGAAATAAACTGGTAAGCATTTTTCCACAAATAAAACAGGAAAAGAGTTGATATCCTTACTTTCTAAAAATTTCTGCAAAGTAATAATTTAAAGTGTCACTACTATCCCCAAAAATATGAGCAAAGGTTATGGATGTTCATAGAAAAAAAAATGCATGTGACTAACAATGTGTTTAGAAAATATCCAACAACTTGGTAATGAAAAAATCAAGTAAGTTAAATGTCATTTTTCACCTATCATATTTTCAATCCATGATAGCAAAGTATTTTCTTAGATGAAAAAACCTTATATACTAACTGTAGTGGCAAAGTTGGTGCAACATCCCTGGAAAACAATTTGAAATATGTAGGAAATAATTAAAGAGCATGCTCATTGAATAAGTAACTCTGAATCCAGGAATCACTTCTTAGCAAACAATCATTTGGTAGACAAATAATTCTTCAGAAACCTCATTTCTTAATTTGAAACAATAAAAAAATCTTTAAGATAAAACAATAAGAAAACATCTAATATAAAACAACCAGAAAACATTTAAGATAAAAATACGTTTCCAGAATACCTATGGCAAAACTACACGGATAGAGAACACATTTGTGGCTACCAGAAATTAGAGGGAGGAAGTGGATGTGACTACAAGGGTTTAAATGAGGGAATTTGGGGGGATGTTGGAATTAGTCTGTATTCTTTTGGTGAAGGTGATTACCAGATTCTATGAATGTGTTAAAATTCATAAAATGCTATACCAGGCCGGGCGCGGTGGCTCACGCCTGTAATCCCAGCACTTTGGGAGGCCGAGGCGGGTGGATCATGAGGTCAGGAGATCGAGACCATCCTGGCTAACAAGGTGAAACCCCGTCTCTACTAAAAATACAAAAAATTAGCCGGGCGCGGTGGCGGGCGCCTGTAGTCCCAGCTACTCGGGAGGCTGAGGCAGGAGAATGGCGTGAACCCGGGAAGCGGAGCTTGCAGTGAGCCGAGATTGCGCCACTGCAGTCCGCAGTCCGGCCTGGGCGACAGAGCGAGACTCCGTCTCAAAAAAAAAAAAAAAAAAAAAAATGCTATACCAAAAAAAAAGAGGAAGAAGAAGAAAAAGGAAAAGAAGGAGGAAGAGGAAAGGGAGGAGAGAAGAGAAAATAATTATTTATCTCTACATAAATTTTAAAAAATTGTGACCAATATGCATAATATATGTGTGTTGGGAGAAAGCTGGAAAAGAAAACCAAACAAAAATGGAAAATATCACTCACTTCTTAGTATTCTCTTCCCAAGATAGTACAATTAAGAGCTAGTAATAGCTAGAAATCTTTCTATAGCCTTTACTGTATACATATGCACTCATATCTATAGATAAAATATATATTTGAATCATACTGTATTTAGTACATACTGCTTTATCATATATAAAATAGATATTGTTATATAATTACATTTTATATACACACTATATAATGATTAAATATCATAGCTTATGAATGTAATTTATTTAACCATTTTGCATACTTAATGATATAATTATGATCTCTATTTTATTTACATATTCATATATAACTATTTTAATCATAAAGAGATATAAATATTTTCTAACAAAATACCTGACAATATTCTTGAAGAATGGTTGCTACGGTGATTTTGGTTTAGCTATAAACAATCTTAGGTGCTTGTTATATTCCTTTTTCACACCTGTCAAGGTGCTGCCAGGACAGCCTGTCTGGCATAATATACTGCTCTTTTCTTTCTTTTGCTGTGAACTACAAATGTAGTGATTGCAAAATGGCCACCTTATATACTTTTTTCACACTCAGTGAATTAAAAAGAACAACGAAATATTTATTAAGGAAGATTGTTAGTCTTTGAACATTATCAAAATACAGAATTTTAAAGCTCTAGTATTTACAAATATGATATACTTTTATATAATTTAAGCTCTGTGGTAAATTTGTTAATTTCCCATGTTGCAACAATTGTAAAGATATATAAGAACTACTATGCTGTTTGAAGGGGCAGATCTTTGAAAATTATAGTGCATTTCATTATGATACCAAAGCAAGAGAAACTAAATTATCAATGATTTATATGTACACAAAACCCAATAGCAGTCAAATTTATTAAATTCAAGAAGAGACTGATGGAAAATAATATAAATTATCTCCATGCATATATGTACCACTATTCCAGGCAGTAACTCTGATATCAAAGAAAGATTGTTTTTTTTGCAACAAGCTTTCCTACCTTTTCTCTAAGGTGTAGTGCAAGGTCAGAGGGCCATCTTATAATATCCAGGTGGGAAGGGGGTGCATCAGGGGTATGTATTGCATAATGGAGCATCCAGTTATCCAGTTTAATTTTCACAACATTCAAAAAGTGTACAGTTCAGAGCCTGGTTATCAAGTCCAAGCAGGCATAAGGGAAAGGGGCTGGAGCCCCTTTTTTTTACACTCTTGCTGAGTGTAAAATATCAAGCAATGAAGTAGGCATGAGGCAGCTGCATGGTGACTACCAGGGGCTCAAGGACTACAGCTGCTGGATTGCCTTCCCACACTTCCATCAATCCAGCCAGTAGGAGAAAATATGACCAAATGAATTCAGACAGTTTATTACTTTCACAGACAGCAACAGCAAAATCAGTGTGCTGTCACCTCCCTTCATCCTAGTCCCACATGAACACACCAAGTTACAGAGGTTGCATGACAGGCAGCATGGGTGCTGGGCAGCTCTAACACCAGAGAGTCAATGTTAACCTACAGCCAGATAGTTTAAAGCCTGCAGTTGTACCCTAACAGAGGGTAAGGTAGAAAGTCTGTTGCTCAACTGAAACTAGTAAGATGGACTAGAAACAGCCTAGTGGTAGTTTCCCCAAGATAGGAGAAGTAGCATGGTCTTGTGACAACTCCTCATCAGGTGGATTGTTTTTCTGTGCTCAAGAGAAATTATAAGGCAATCTGCAAAGATGGTTACAATGCTGTCAAGCCTTTCCCACACAATCTATGTGGACATGTTCAAAATTACCAGGACTCTGGGAGCTGTTCCCTACATAGAATGACTTATGAGATGTTAAGCATTAAAACTATGACTAGCAAGATGCTGCAAGATCCTTACCTATGGATTCTGAAGCCAAAGATACCAGCATGTACTAAGTTGGTGAGTTTTTAATCATGACACTGGCATATCTTTCATACTAGTAAGCAATACATGAAAAGAATGAATTTGTGAATAACATATGTTTTTTAATTAATTTGTGCACTGAGCTGCTATGTATTAACCAGGCCCGGTTGGCCCTAAGCCACAATTAATTTGCAAATAGATTAATAGGCTAATCTGCTTTTTGTCACTTACCCCCAACCTGTGAACACACTATAGCTCAGGTGCAGCCCAGACTCTCTGACTGGAGAAAAGTCCCTGTCCACATGCCAGATGTCTCATTTCTGCTTGAATACCTATGAATCATGACTTCATAGAAGCTTCCTTACATTATTAAACAGTTGATTGAGACCAATGCTGCAACTTTTAAGTTACTTCTAAGTGCAAAGTTTGGTTTTTGTTTTTCTTTTTTTCCCCCCTCTACTGGCAAATACCAGATTAACATGCTACCTCTTATACATGGTTGTTCTCAACAAACTAAGACATGCTTATCTTCATTTTCTGGTTATCTGCTCCCAGAAATTGTAGGGGCCAGAGAAAAGAGTGTTCCAGCATTGATTGTTTCCTCCAGCACAGAAATATAATTCACTGCTCTGACTTTCAAGACATAAGTCATAGGCAAAATCAGAGAATCTAAATAGGTAGCAAAAGAATGCACAGCTTTTAAATCTCTTACACTGCAGTTATAGAAGGTAGCCATAATAATAACATTTTAGTGATAAGTACCTGACAGGGGACATGGCATCTCCTGTTCCTATGCTGACTTCTGACATTGTCTCCTTTCTCTTTTTAAAATTGTCTACTTAAGTTTATGTCCTGGACCTGTGAATCCATCTAGTTGGTCAACACATAATTATTGAACTAGGTTGAGAACTGTTGTAAATTTCTGCCTTGGTTAAGTGTGATTTTGTAGGAGACAAACAATCAACAACTCAAGAGAACTTCAGTTCATAATTGTAATGAAGACAATGAAATTGGCGATATGGCCAATAGTTGGTGGAGTGTTTCTTTAGAGGTCTTCTAGATCTGGATCATCAAGCTCTTCACCATCAGTTTCTAAATCTCACAGTGGAAAAGCAACCAAAATAGAGACACTTTTATGAAAATAGAACTTTATATGCTGCAATTTTCTACTTAGCGCTATTAATTCAATTTATCCAAGATTATCTTCTGGAAATATTGCGAGCCTATTGCATATAAGAAAAGTTATAGAATATACTAATTCTCCCTATTGGATCAAAACCAAACCATTTGAATGTGGATGCTTTCAATGTGTAATATCGTTACCTTCATTTTATAATCTTATAGCATAAAAATGACCTTTGCCCATTTTTTTGCCTGGTACGACTTTTACTAATTCTTTTAAGTTCAGTTACAATCAATCCCATTTAGCAAGCAAAATCTTCCAGTTCTGTTAGAACTCCAACCTCCCTGTAAGTGCCTCTCAGGCCTGAATTATCCATGGGGTCTCTGTGTCCCTTACTAGCCTATGAGCTCTCTGAGGCTGGGCAGTTCCTAGCCCCCTGGGAGAGATAAACAAAAACAAGAAAGAATAAATGACTAGGCAATGTGAGAGATCATGTGCGGTCTAAAGGAAACAATAAACTTTTAAACTAATATTGGAGACAACTGCATGTGTGACAAATGACTTGTTTTCCATTTACAATTTTAAGTTGCAAGTCAAAAATCAGGTGTTGCTTACTTATGTAAGAAATAGGTTTAAATACATAGTCTAGGAATACCTTTGCTTCTCTAAAGACCTGGAACATTTACTCCTCATAGATAATGAGAACTGCATTAACTAACATTTCCCTTTTTCTTTGACTTCTAGGGATATCAGACACAAATTTATGTCTCAATTATAGCATCGTCTTTGGACCTTATGTTTGCTTATCTGTGTTCTCTTTTCCCCTTGGTCTGTTCCACTTCTTCTGATTTATATTTTCCCTGGTCCTGATATTTTATTTATGTTTTACTATATTGTTGGTTGTGTTTTTATAAGCCATTCTAAATCCTTTGTGAATTAACTTGGGATATAAATACGCTACTTGCTTAAAACTGTTCTGAGTGCATTACCTGTACCATCTCTAAGGCACATGAATTCTCCAAAAAACAAAACAAAACAAAATTCCAGGTTTTAAAGTTCTTTTTCTTGTAAGTTTTTTTAAAGAAACAGTAACACTTTTTAAAACAACATTGTAAGTAATTTCATTTGTAAAATATGAACTAAATTTTAATTACTATGAAATTTTATTCCCTTAATTCTAAGCCCCTCTCAAAGAAAAAAGGGGTTATTTTAAATATAAGCAGAAATAATTCTTCCAAGGTCTTATAACTCTCATTTTATTTTCATTTTAATTTGTACATCTTCACTTTCATGTTTATTATTTCTGGGTATGATTATGGACTTGTTCATAATCTACATGTATCATTCCTATATGATAATTTCAGGACCTAGCTTGACTCTCATGAAATAATTTAAGACAAAAAAGAGAAAATGTATAATAACATAGAAGGTATTGATAGCTTTGTGTACATAAATTTTAATCACCTGTATGGAATTACAAGAAATTTTCAAATGCAAAAGAAAATCTAGAAAAATTAATTAATTCACATGGCTAACTAAGGGAGAATTTCTTTAATGGACAAATAGCTCTTTCAAATTACTAAGAAAAAGAGTAATAACTCAAAAGGGAAATAGTTAAAGTATATAAATATGTAGGTCACAAAAACTGAATAAAAATATGAAAAGATGTGTAGCTTCATCATAATAAATGCAATGAAGATATAAAAATCAATGAGCTGTCACTTTTTATTTATCAGACAGGCAAAAATTAAGTCATTTGATGACCGTACATTTTAACCAGGATACCAAGGAATAACCCCTCTTACCTTCTATTGATAGCATATATAGCTGCGAATTTCAGAAGGCAATGTTATTAACATTTTCAAATGTACATAATCTTTAATCCAGTCAATTGACTCCTGGGGATTTTTACATACATATTTGAAATATAAATATTTTAAAGGAATTTTAATTCCATATTACTTGTAATCCTGAGGTAACTAGAAAAAGTATTTACCAAAAAGTGACTAATTACATTTGATTGTTTGCTTAATAAGTAATTATTGATCACTATGTGCCAGGCTTAGTTCTAGGTTTGGTAACCCACCGTGAACAAGATAAAAGCTTATATTCTAGTGGGGTCATACATGTGAATGAGTAACAAATATACATATTTATATACATATTCATATACAAATTCAGATTGTAGCCCATACCATAAAAGAAAGCAAAACTAAGAAAAGTGCTGAAGGAAGTGGGTGGCTTACATTAGCATGGTCAAGGATAAATTTTGAGGAGGTGGCATTTGAAGTATGACTACAGGAGGAAGGCACAAGCCACATGAAAACTAGAGGAAGAGTGTCATGGCACATTCATACAAGGCTGCTCTTAAAAAAAATTAACAGGTCAATCTAATTGGGATTACTATAGAATGCGTTCTATAATTCTTTCCTGTTAAGCAATTGTTAACTGTCAACGACTGTTACATAAAAGTATGTATTATATAATTATTTTTGGTTAGATGAATCTGTGCATGCATGCCTGTGTTTCTGTGTGTGTGTGTGTGTGCATGCACTTCTGTGTTCGTGCATGCATATCCATAGAAAATTCCTGAGAATTATCAAAGAAACTATCAACAGTGGTTATCTCCAAGGTGCAGAAAGCAAATATCAGAGGGTTTTAAAAATTTATCTTATGCTCATTTTTTTGACATTTTCATTATAAGCATGTGTTACTTTTAAATAGTAATTTCAGTGTCAGTATGTCATATATACGTATATATTTATTTATATATACACAAAATAAATAAATAATAGGACTAGGAAGAAACAATCTTTAAACAGCTCCTTTTGAATGCCATTCCAAGTTTTCAGGTCTTTTTGGTCCTGATTTTATTAATACAATTTCTATCAACCTATTTGTACTGTCACCTTACACCTATATGAATGTATTCTAGAATAAACCTGACACATATCACCATTTTAATTTGCTGAAGTAATATTACATTTTTTGTTTCAAATAGCATGTTATTATTGCCTGACAATTCATCTTTGCATTTAAATATAATATTAATGTGGGCGTTGTAAATTTACTAATGAATTACAGCACTAAACTTGAATAAGATTGGTTATTTTAAATACTTATTAATTATTTGTGTCTTGTTCAGAAGAGGACCACCAGAAGGATCTTTCTTCAGAATGGAATATATTAAAAACTTTGTTTAAATATATTTAAATAAATATATTAACTTTTGCAAAGCACATCTGTATTTATTTCAATTTGAATGTCACTTCCTAGGTGAATCTATTTCTGACCCACCTGTCTTCTCTGGAAGAGCACATTATCTTGATTGTGTTGTTGCCCTTGCCCTATTATTATAATATATATTTATTATGTTATTTGTCAGATTTCCCTACAATGTTGTGAGTTCTTAGAGGAAAATTGATATATTGCTTAAAGCAAAAACAAGGGATAAAAGAGAGCTTATTTCTTTAAGCCAAAAGTTCTTTGAGTCTAAGTAAGAAAAAAAAAACCATATAATCTCACAATTAAAAGTGTGCTATTTCCCACATATTAAGATTTTTACACAATTATATGTTATATGTACAAAAATATTACATTATGTTGACTCTTAACCTGCATTTTTGATGAAAGAATATATCATGGATACGTTTTTGTCATTACGTATTATTCTACAAGGGCATCTGATAGCTACACAAGTCTACTGCATACACATGAACATTGTTTTAATCTTCTAACAGCAGAATATGTGATTATTTCTAGTGTGTTTTTTTCTTTTAGAAGTAAATAGCTATTAGATAAAATAAAATATAAATCTAGAGAATAAAGTAAAACGTGTGGCAACAGCTAAGATTGGTCTTATCTGCATTGGATATTTTATATTTTCTGTGCGCCATCACCTACTCCCAACTCACCTAACATGCCCAGTCCCTAGCTGCTGTCAGCTCCGGAATCTTTTCTGATGTGTGGAAGCTGGACCTACTTTACTTCTATTCCTTGTCCCAGCATTGACGACTCCAGCTGACTCCTTTCTAGAACATGATCAGAAGAATATGGCTTGTTACGGTTTGTTATGGCTATTTAAGCCATACACAGGCCAGTGTTTAATGGGGCTGTTCTGTAGCTAGAGTAAAATCCTGGGGGAAATCTTTCTCATCTCGGCTTTTCCTGGGCTTGAAGTAGCAGGCAAGTACTGTTGCTCTTTTCAGATGGTCAGCAGACTCCTTATTAGTAAAGCTCCGTGGCCAATGTGTAAACAATTTTGTTCCAAGGATGCAAATGTGGATGAAATTAGAAAGCTTTAAGATAATTGAGTACTGAGGTAGCACGCTCAGGTGCCTGAACTTTAATAAAAGCCTAGACCATTTTGCCTAAATAATAATGCCTTTCAACCCTCTCCTCACAGAGGCAGATGTAGCATGAACAGGTGCATTGGCTTTGCTGATACTAAATACCCATTGGGATCTGATAACTTAAAAGACCAGATGAGAAGGTTCTCATACCTTGGGACCCACTGATTTTCGAGATTCACTTTATACTTCTCTGTAGTTGGCTGCACCATCATGCTGTGCCCTTCTGGTAGTGGCAATAAAGTAACCATGAATATGTGTTTGTAATTATATAAAATCTAAAAGCAAAGAAAACTACAAGCAAATGGCTTCTGCTTACAAATTCAATTTATACAAGTGCCAACCTATAATTTAGAATGGTGGCTTGAGTGCCTCTTCATGCAGAAATTTGCAATTGATGGGGACATATACAGAATCAAATAAGGAAACAATGTATTCTTATTGCACCCCATTGTCAGAGGTGATGAATAGATTTGAAAAGCGGCAAAGGAGCAGAGCAAAATTCTGCACCACCTGGAATGTTCAAGGAGAGAGAGAAGAGAACAGGCATTCTTGATGGGTCAAGTTGACCTTAGGCAGGCTCCAGATGTAGCTATAAAATATCCTCATATCCTTGATACTTGAACACCCACTATTTTAGCTTTATCTTCAAAACAACTGAAACTGATCCCCAGGCTAGAGAAGGATTTTCTAATTATGGTGCTGAATATCAAAGATTAGCATTTGACTAGGTTGTCGGAGTGAGAGGTCATGGAGAGAGGCTACATCATTTTGAGTTTTTATGTCAGGTTTAAAGCACACATTTCCTCAAATGAGAACCCCTGCTTAACATTATACAGCTAAATAATGGCAGAGCTGATTTTTTTTTCAACTAGGAAACATAAAATTGTATTTGCCACTTCCCATGTGGTAATTCCAAAATGATGTGATTTATATATAGTTACTTATGTAGACCTCACAGTGAGCATATATAGAAGGTATTTATTTCGATTTAAACTTAAAGATTCTTAATTTTAAATTCAAGGATACATGTGCAGGATGTGCAGGCTTGTTACACAGGTAAACGTGTGCGATGGTGGTTTGCTGAACAGATCATCCCATCATCCAGGTATTAAGCCCAGCACCCATTAGCTATTCTTCCTGATCCTCTTCCTCCTCCTACCCCGCTGCCCTGTGACTGGCCCCAGTGTGTGTTGTTCCCCGCCATGTGTCTATGTGTTCTCATCATTCAGCTCCCACTTATAAGTGAGAACACATGGAATTTGGTTTTCTGTTCCTGAATTAGTTTGCTAAAGATAATGGCCTCCTCTTTTTGGAATAGTACATCATTTACTGTACTTCTCAACATTTCAAAAGTGGGACAAATTCTATATTCTACATCTCCACCTCAAATTCTTCTGTTGGTGAGGTTTTTTGTTTGATCAACTTGGTCATCACAAGTTTCAGCTTCTTTTTAGAGGTTACTGTACTACTTTTATTTGTGGCGATGTTACTAATTTTACAGATTGGAAAAGCATAGAAACGTATTCATTTAAAGTAAGGAGGAGTGTTTCAAAAAGCCTGGCAATGTTACAGCAAAGGATCTCCTGAAATCCTTTATCTCCTGAAATCATATTGGGATGAGGTCTATTATCTCAGAAATACTGTTATAGCAAAAGACTTTTAAGTAGTGAGGAAAATGCTTAAAGTGTAGATCTTTTTATGTTTCTATTTTTACTATTTTTAATTTGCCCACATATATTTATATGCTTTATTTCCTTTTTACAATGCCTTTCCTTGGGATGAAATATAGCTGTTTTAAAGTCAATACATTTTAATTAAATTAATATATTTGCATATCTCATATTCAAATCACATATTCAGAATGCAATCTGACTTCTGCTTAATCCTAGAACAAACCAAAGTTAAAAAAAAAATGAAGAAAACTTTGTTTACCCCAAGCAAAACTGATCTCTGATAAATAAACATGTCCTCAGAAAATGGGATTAATACCTTTTAGATGTCTTCTTCTTGTTCATCTTATTTTAAACATATCATCCTTCTCTTTTTAGACATTGTTTACTTCTTTGCAGGCATAATAGTTTCATTCTGTCTCTTTCAAGAACTCTTCCACCCAGAAGTCCGTACTAGCTTTCTATCTACCCATTGAATTCATTGTATAGAGACCTTTTCGTTTCCAAGAAAGGCTACCAAGGCCAAAGCCAAGTTTAACTCAAAGGACAGGGCACATCATTTTGAAATACCAGATGCTTAGATGACTGAATATATGATGTTTGGAGGCAGGAAGCCTATTCGCTTGACAATCTATACCACATTACACTGGTTTATTTGAAGGTTACTTCTTTGTTAAAGCACACATACTTCCCAGATGATAAGATTTGCTTAAGGTTACATAGCTAGCTAATGAGAGAATTGAGCTTTTCCTTTGATTAGACCATACTACCTCCTGTACATAAAATTGTATTAAAATAATTATTTTATTTCTAATTTTAATCACCTGTTTTACCTCTGTACCAATTTGTCTACAGATTTTCATTAAAATAAATATCCAAGGATGGTGCTTTGACATCATGTGTACTATTGTCAAAATTATATGTTAGTTGCTGGTCTCTGAATTAAGCACTCTATGCATATTTTCGTATTTAGTCTGCCTATTAGCAATACTGAATGGATAGGCCTAAATCTAGGTTCAAAGCAATTGAAGAATAATAAGGATTTTCATTTCAGTGTTAATATTTCTGCTATAAAATTGTTAACTGATTTAAACAAGAATTTTAGCCTTGTGCAGAAAACTTACTTATTTGCAGCATACTTATTTACAACAATTTTAATATGATAATCTTAGAGTAGATTAACATTTGTTAATGTCTCATGTGTTGATTGTTTTTCTGCCAAATATTTTTAATATCAATATTAATGTCTGAATATAGTTTGACCTTGGTGATATGATTCTGTATAGTAGTAAGTTGTGTCATAAGAGAAGTCTCACTATAGTAGCACTTTTCCTGACATAGTTTTTAAAAATTAATTCATTATTTTAAGGTATTTCTTTCAATTTTGGGGGGTTTTCATAAAAAGAGAGTTCTAATTTGAATACTAGTAAAATCCAAATTTAAATTGTGCTATCCCCATTGGTTCCTAGGTTTGGGTTTATTTTTATTTTATGTTGTCTTTTATTTCAGATCTATTACATCCCTAGTTTTTGCTAAGTTTATCTAGCCAATTATTAGCTAGAGTATCATTACATTCCAGGGTAAATTATTTAGTAGCATGAAACAATGTATTCTGAAAATGTGGACTGTGTATCAGGGAGCTCACAAGCTCAGTGTAGTTTGTCAAACTTCTAAAGAAAACATCTCAGTGAGTCATTAAAAATGAGAAAGGAAGGGTTTGGTAAAACATTGCTTCTCATTAGTATGGCAAGTCAGTAAGTATTTGGGGTTGGAGGAGGGGCCCTGCTGATGGATGAATGTGCTTTTTGGGATATTCCTGATTAGTTAGTAAGTGGTGTTTGTTACTATTTTTTCTGAGAGTTGCATCAGACTATAATAAAAGTGGCCTATGTTTTTGTTTTTAACAATTGCAGGTAAACGATGAAGGCCAAGGCTCTAAGAAGTATTTAACCCAGGAAACCAACCACCATCATGGGAGTTAGAAAAAGGAGATCTGAATTCTCAACTGAGTTCTACCACTATCAAGTTTGTTACCTTTGACAAATTATTGATTACTCTGACCTTCAATGTATTTTTTTGAAAATGAAGGGAATAGACTACGTGGTATCCCTACTTCAACTTTTTTTTTAAACAAGGTTCCTGAATTGACTGTATGTAAAAAGACACTAAGAAAGACCAATTAATATGAAAATCTAATTTTAGAAACAAAGGCCAGGCAGGAAGAAGGTTTTCTTTAAATTACCCACAACCAAGATAGCCCTCAAACCTAGTGGGCTTCCTCTTGTCAGTTCCAGCAGCGTCACAGTTGCTGGCAGGAAACAGGTCTCCTGAGAAAAGTATTTGCATTACAGAAGCAGCTACTGTGGCAGTAGCAGAAGGAATAACAGTTCCCTAATGAAGGTCAGCACAGACTGAACAATCAGCCCGTGTTTTCCAAAGAAGTACCTATCAGGATTTTTCAGGCTGCATTTTAAAATCACACAGGGAGTTCTGAAATATAGTGATACTCAGGCCACAGCTAAAAACAAGGAAATCAGAACTCTGTGACGGGGCACAGGCAGAGATGATTTTTAGGTAATTGTCAGGTGCCTCCAGCACACAGACTAGACTGAGAACCACTCATCTCAAGCAAGACTGGAAAATTCACTTCCATTTTAATTATTTATTCAATTCAATTGTTAGTGGGAAAAGATAATAGATGTCTGAATCAAGACGAATTCTGAGATCACAGCTCTGTTCAGCATAAGAAAGAGCTGTGATCAGCTGATGAGGAATATCACAGGCAGAGAGAGCAGAATGAGGGCATCCTGCTACACGTTTGCCATCTCTGCATTAGAAGGTGTTTTTTGTTTTTGTTGTTTGGCTCGTGGTTTTTTTTTTTTTTTTCCCCCTACACTAAAATTCTTCAAGCAACAAATAGCGTCTGATCACTGAGGGTTTTTTGGAACAGCCATAAGTTCTTCAGAACCTGCTGAAGGTTCTTTGGAACAACCAAATAGTTAAGAATGCAAGGAAATAAGACAAATTCACAGGGGGAAAAAAAAACACAACTTTTTAGTTTTATAGTGTCTTTGTAGATATTGGTGAATTGATTCTCACAAAAGACTTTAAAAATATGAGTTATGCTCATTGTGAAAGGCTAAAAAATCAATGACCACGATATAAGTGACTTTTACAGTTATGTTAAAAATCACCTTCTCTTTTGTCTTCAAACCTACAGCATGCACATATCTTTCCATGTTAAAACAAAAAGTAATTTGAACTTGCTACGTTTCTTTCTTCAATATTTATGTCTTCTTTATACTTTCATAATTATTTTTCAGAAAGAGAAAAGTAGCCTAACCTATTGCCTCTATATTTTTATTATTGAGTCCTTTAGACCCTTGCAGCTGACTACTAGTTACTGCATCGTGTAAACTATTAATTTAGGACTTCGATATCCAGAGAGTAGAGTGATGCCAGATCAAATCATCTTCCTACTCCAATGCACAACAACAAGTAAATTTGATATTCTAAGACAAAAATTCACTAGTATTAAAACACAGGAAGTTTAACTTAATACCATAAACCTCAAAATGTGACAGCGAAGAAAAGAACTAGAAAATTCTGGAGTAACATTATTTCTAACATACCTGTAACCCGACCTCTGAGTAAACAAAATTGTCACAGTTCTGACTTCGTTTATCAAATGTGTACATAATTAGGCTTAAGGGCATCATTTTTTCCCCTTCTTGACTCAGGGATGAGAATTTTTAAAAATGAAAGGTTACAAGATGGTGGAACCTTTGTACGTTTTTGTACCACCACACAAGATGGTGGTGAAAGTACAAATAGCTGTCAGAGAGTCTTGTTAAGTGATGGAAATGAAAAGTGGTACCTGACTCTGACAGCAATAGAGCCTCTAGGGTCTTTTGGAAAGTTAGGGAGCCATCAGAATTCATGTACCTCCTCATAATGACTGGCTGCATTCCCTGCTAGATTGAAGTATAGGTGGCACAGGATAGTTAAAACAGTCTCAGAAAATAGTACAGAGGTATATGTAATTCCAGCTGAACTCATCTTAATCAGGACAAAACTGCTTAAGTTAAACATGAATAAGATGTAAAGAAGAGGCATGATGGCTCCTGAAAAACCTACTGCTGTAAGAAGGTGATAAAATAAAGAAACATGACTCACAAGAGAAAGATGAAGTACTCACCTAGGGAAAGACACTCAAATGTGAACATTTCTCCTGAATATTTTAAGTTTTAGTAAACTTTACAAGAGCCCAAAGACCAATGATAAAACCATATAACAAGGTAACTCCATGTTTCGGCCAGGCGCGGTGGCTCACGCCTGTAATCACAACAATTTGGGAGGCCAAGGTGAGTGGATTACCAGAGGTCAGGAGTTCGAGACCAGCCTAACCAACATGGTGAAACCCCGTCTCTACTAAAAATATAAAAATTTGCCAGTTGTTGTGGTGGGCACCTATAATCCCAGCTACTCAGGAGGATGAGGCAGGAGAATCACTTGAACCCGGGAGACGGAGGTTGCAGTGAGCTGAGATCACACCATTGTACTCCAGCCTGGGCAACAAGAAAGAAACTTCGTCCTCCAAAAAACAAGAAGAAACGAACAGAAAACTCCATGTTTAATCCTGTCCTAGAATTTCAGAATAAGAAAACCAATAGTCAAACTCACATCCCCAAATGGATACATACTAAACATCTCAGAGTTAACGGAACCATAACTGAATTCTTCAATCCTAAAATGTACTTCACCTTCAGTCTTCCTCATTACAATAAAAATCAGCCCAACCATCAATTTGCTAAAGCCAGAAGTATACTCTTTTCTTCCTCCTTCCCTTCATTCTGACGGCCAGTTGATCATCAAATCTTATTGAGAGTTATTCCTCCAAAATTGAGCAAGAAAACCCCAAAAACCTCAACTCTTCAAAGTTTTCCTGATGTAACAACTGAAAAGCCGAAGAAAATGTAAGGCAATACTCCAGATTGAATAGATGTATTTATAAAATTATTGATCAATGGAAAAAACTATATTGAATACAAAATTTTAAAACTAGAAACAGAAATGGCAAATAAAAATGAAAATTACAAAAAATTGGCCAGGCATAGTGGCTCATGCCTGTAATCCCAGCACTTTGGGAGGCTGAAGCTAGAGAATCACTCGAACCCATGAATTTGATATCAGCCTAGGCAACATAGTGAGACCTAGTCTCTAAAAAAATAATAATAATAGCTTAAAAGAAAAAAAATTGTTAGAAATAATATATATATCAGAAAACATGAAATTTCAAATTGCATATGAAAGACTAAACTCAAATGATAAGTAAGGGCTACTGAGAAAAGTAAAGCATGTGCTAAGGATGAAAAAGAAAGAACCATTGAGACAGAAGAAATTTTAAAAATCATAAGAGACTACTCACATTCACTCCATGTAAATACATTTGAAAATATAATTGAAGCAGATAATTTCCTGTGGAAATACAGATTTTCAAAATTAATCCTATTGAAAAGCATAAACAGACTGATTTTCTTAGATGAGACAGAGAAAGTAATTAAGTAACTTCACCCTCTTTCACCAGGAAAATGCTGACCCAGATATTTCCAAAGTAAAATTCTACCAAACCTACAAAAACCAGATACAGTTAATACTTCATAAATGGTTCAAGATAATTGTTAATGAATCAGACTGTCTATTTTTATCAAGTGAGTTAACATTGATAACAAAATTTGATATAGAAACATATTTGTGAATATTAATACAAAATACTAGTTAAAATATTAAAAGGCTGAGTCCAATAGAACATTAAGAAAATAAAATAATACACGTGATCAGATAGAATTTATTTCAGTAATGTAAATTTTGTTAACTTAGGAAATAATGAACTGTGATAATATATTAAAGTATAAAATCATGTAAATATCTCTGTAGATGCTAAAAAGACTTTGACAAATTTAACACTTCTTCATGAAAACTCAAGAAAATAAATAATATTTTAGCTCTAAAGCAAGTATGTTATGGAATAAAAACATTAGGAGTATTTTGCTAAGATGAAGAGCAAAGCAAGGATGCCCACTATCTGCACTATTCAATATTCTACCATATAGATTAGCACCCCCAAAAAAGTAAACCAGAAAAGATAAATCAGCTAGAGGCAAAACATTTAGTAAAGAAGAAAAAAAAATCTCTACTTGCAGATGATATGATAGTGAACTTTGGAAACCCAAAAGAAATGATAAAACTGATCATTGAACACTAAAAACGTAATAATATAAAACAATAAAACAATTCAGTAAGGAACAAAATTAACAACAAAAATCAATAGCTTTCATCTACATAGACAAAAACCAGCTAGAGGACATACTATTAGAGAAAACTCCATTGCAACAGCAACAAAGATTAAATACTTAAAAAATTTAGGCCAGCTGCGGTGGTTCACGCCTGTAATCTCTGCACTTTGAGAGGCCGAGGCAGGTAGATCACCTGAGGTCAGGAGTTCAAGACAAGCCTGGCCAACACAGCGAAACCCCGTCTCTAGTAAAAATATAAAAATTAACCGGGAATGGTGGCGGGCACCTGTAATCCCAGCTACTCAGGAGATTGAGGCAGGAGAATTGCTTGAACCCAGGAGGCAGAGGTTGCAGTGAGCTGAGATCACGCCATTGTACTCTAGCCTGGGCAACAAGAGCAAAACTCCTTCTGAAAAAAAAAAAAAAAAAAGAAAAGAAAAGACATATGCAAAATTCATATGAGAAAACTTTGAAACACTTCTGAAAGACACAGAAGTAGACTAAAAATTTGATGTCGTCTGCTCTTGAATAGGATGACTCAACATCATAATCATGCCACTTCTCCCAAAGGTAATTTATAAAGTCAATGTAATTCTAATAAAAATACCAGCAAGCTTTTACATAAAGTTAGACAATTTAATACTAATGTTCATACAGTACAACTAAATATGCAAGAATAGCCAGGAAAACACTAATAAAAAGAAAAACTACATGGGGTAGTAGCCCTACTAAAACTTCAGATATATTTTCAAGCTCTTAATTATAACAGTGTTGCACTGGCATATGACAAATAGAACAGCGGAATAGAATAGAAGGCCCTGAATTAGAATCAAATACACGTGGAAAATGAGTACACAATAAAGGTAGCATCCCAAATCACTAATCTTATGGTAAGACTAAACAGGCAAGAATAACTTAAAAAATAACTTAAAAATAGATTTGAACAAATGGTGCTGTGACAACTTACTAGCTATCAGGAAAACTATAAAATTACATTTGTACTTCATACTGTACACAAGAATAAACTTCAAATGAATCAGGATCTAAATGTTAAAAAGGAAACAATATAAATATTAGAAGAAAACACCCTAACTCCTATGTCGGAAATGTATATGCGGATATAGCCATATTTCTATAAGTGAATACAGCAGATTGTAAAGACTATCTGTGCTGTTATCTTTCATGTAAGAAAGAAGGAGATAGAAGAAAAAAAAGGTATCTGTGCAAAAGAATACTAGAGGAATAAACTAGAAACTAATGAGACTGGTTACTCATTAGAGATTGGGTGGCTGGGAGTAAGGTAAAAAAAATGCAGGAAATGTGAACAGGAGAGAAATAAGAAGAAGAAAATGGCACTCCTGTGAGCATGACATACATAATAACATATGTACATATGCATATATACATAAAAGTGTGTGATTTATATGCATATAAACACATATATACATACACACAGGTATATTTAGAAATAGATACAGATACGTTTGTACACCAATATTTTCTAGTTGTGAGTACTCAGAGGGCAATGTCACTCCAGTAACAAAGAACATACTTAGCATCTAGATCTTGAATTTTAAATAAGATTTATCACTAAAAGTAAACTAAAGTTTCTTGGTGATAGGGTTTATTCCAGCATTGAGGTGGGGAAAATAGAGGAAAACCTCAGGATATTTTGTAGTGCTAGAGAATGGGAAAAGATCATGGAAACATGCCAAAAGGAATAAGGAGCCTCCTTGAAAGAGCTCCCAGTAGCTAAATCTGGGAAAAATTAAACATCAAAACCAATAATAATAGCAATATATTATAACCCATAAAATTAAATAATTACCCATGAGTACCTACTCAGGCAAATAAATGAGTAAATAGTTAAACAGGAAGACTGACAACTCTTACAGAAAATTTCAATTAATGAATGTAGAGAAGATTATGGAAATATTAAATTAACATTTGGAAAATAGCACAGTAATAAATTATTCAGACAAAAATGATTAATAGAAGCTAAAATCTGTAGGTGCGTATTTGTGTAATCTCATCGTATCTTTCCTCAAGATATTTATTAATAACAAGGAGAAAAATAGTGACTATAATGAAGAAATCATTATCAGATCCAATCTACCCTTTATTGATTTCTCTGTAAATATCTCTCCTTGGCCAGTTGGCACAATGTTACGTTTTCTTCTTAGTTCTGGTTCTGGTGTGCTTCCTTTGGTGAATTCTTGCGAGGTGCATAGCATCTGCTGAAGTGCGTACTCCTGCAGCATGAAGATGTCAGCAGCATCTGTACCCCCTCAAGTGGTTGCTCAACAAGTGTCATTGCCTGGCATACCCCCACATACAGAGTCCCTCAAAATACTCTTATGTGGCTTTGCAGCAGGTTCCCCCATGTATCATCTCCTAATGGACAGCTTCCCTTGAAATCCCAAAAGGTATATTTCTAGTCCCACCAGTGCAGACCTCAGTGAATTTCCCCACCATGCAGGAAGCTATGACTCTACCCTCTCCAAAGAGATCTGGATCTCAGCCCTGTAGAAGGCTCTCTTCCAGACTTGTTCCTCCTCTGAGGGCTCTGTATCAACCCTAAGTGTACTGGCTGGTTTTTTTTTACATCTACTATTCCTGTATTCTTCAGCATTCTCTTTGTCTCTTACTAGCAATCTCCAATTACTTCAAACCACGGTTATACTTAATATTCTTTATAATAAAATTTCCCTGATCAGATTATTAATGTATTTTCTGTTTCCTGGTTGGACCCTGACTGATACACTACACTAAACAAGTAATCAAAGTTCATATCATCAGCAATAAGACATATTGACCTCATGTGCCTCCTGATATGTGGCCTCTCCCTCTTCAGAGCATCATGCCACATTTTAGAATTCTTGCAAAAAATGAATAACCTGAATTCAAGCAGGAGGAAACATCAAATAGACCCAAATCAGGACACTATTAAAAAATAATTAGCCAATATTTCTCAAAAGTGAAAGACAAATATTTAAATGAAAAATAGTATTTTAAGCCTGCTAATGATCTATTATCACACTTATGAATACCCCCAATTTTTATAGAGCCCTGTATTATCTTGCCTCTGTTTCTTATCTCTGAACTCATTTCATAGCACCCTTCCCTTTCTTCAGTATGCTGAAGCTATCTGGCTTGATATTGGTTAATGCAGTTTAACTATTCCTTTACCCTGCTGTGTTTACTTCTTTCATACTCGGTAACTCCACAATCAAATTGAATCTGTCTCAAATAAGCTCTCATTAGGAGCCACTCTTCTATAATGCAAACTCTATGAAAGAATCTTGTCTCCCTTGTTCCTTGTTATCTCTCTGGCTAGTACACTGCCCGGCATATTCTAAGTACTAAATAAATATTTTCTGACATTTATTGGCATTTGTGACCTCAACTGGTAAATTCAAGTTTGTTTTTCTTCTTGCTAGTTGATTACACTGTGGCATTTGACTCTGTGGTCAAGCTGAGCTTCTTTAAATTCCACTCCTCCTTAGCTTTTGTGCCACTGTTTCTACTTCCCTTCTTACCTCTCATATCCTTTCTCTTCTTCATAGCCTTGCCTTCTCCTGCCTTCCACTAAATAACTTCTGCAGAATTCTGCTGGGCTAGAACACAGATCATAAGGAAAGGAACAATGCCTCAAAGTGGAAATATAATACATAACAAAAATTCACACCTCTTATAATATGACATTTTCAACCTTATTAAAAATATCATCTGCCTTCTTGCATTACAGTAACAGTAGCTGTTGTAACAAGCAATCCCCAATATTTCATTAGCTTAACTGTGTAAGAGTATGTTTTTCGTGTTCATGTTGCTGTCAACATGTATATGCTGTTCTAACATCCTTTAGGATTTTGAAATCATTTATGTACAGAGTAGATGGAGAAAGAGCATGAAGGGAGATTACACACTAGGGAGACATTTATAGGCTAGGCCTGTAAATGTTACATCATGTATTCTTATATGATGTTGATTAGCACTTGGTCACATTGTCAAACTCAACAGCAAAGACTCTGGGAAATTTAGTGTAGCTGTGGGCTCCGGGGGGGTTCAGGAGGAAGGAGACACAGGCTTCATGAATAGATAGTAGTCTTTGTCGTACTCTATTTGGAAAAATGGTGGAAGCCTCCAGGGCAAACATGATACTAGTTGGTAGTTAACCTGATATATGAGGAAGCAATAAAATATAAATTTTATGGGCATGCTTCAGTCCTCAGTGAAACTGTTTGATAGGATATGAATGACCTGGATAGAAGTTGTTGGGTTTTTTAATTTTATTTTTAGTGTTACCCAACAGATCATCAAGCAGTACATATAGCCTCCCTCTGAATTTGGGATTTGAGAGCTACATTCATGGAGAATGTTAGCCTACCACCTCACGTGGTTTCTTGGTTTAGAAATTATAGTGTGAGATTTCCCAAATCTAGAGTGTTCCTCTGATTCCTTTCCCAGCTTTGAAAGGCAAGTGGTTCCTACCTGTTCCATCAGCCTTTTCTTCATTTGTGCACACAGAGGAGCTGTGGTCTATGGCCCAGGACCAATTCACTCATCTTAATGTCTTTGGTCTTTGTATTGCCCTCCCTTAGCAAGCTCAGAAACAGGCCTACCATCAAACATTCTCTATGCTCTCATGGCATGAAAACTCATTTTTAGAGTTTCCCTTATAGGACTACATCTGTTTCTTGATCTAAGTAGGATGCTGTACCTGTAGTTAAAGCTGTGAATGCTGAAATTAAATAGACATATCTTGGATTCCTCACCTGTCACTTAATAGGTGTATGACCTTAAGGAATTTACATAACCTCTCACAGCCTTAGGTTCCTCATCTGAAATAGAAGTGCAGAAGTGATGGGAACCTGCTGCTGTTAACATTATCCAATCATAATAAAACCTGTAGATGATATTTCCTTTCTGTGTTTCTTATTCTAATTAAATGATGAGTACCCACTAAATTGCCCATGAGAAATCTGCTTGTCATACTGAACATCTTCCCTGTCACACTTCTCCCATCTAATTCGTTTTCAAAATCTATTAATTTTACCCTTGTGACAGATACTGCAGGTTGTTCAGGAGAATTATTTTCTTTTATTTCTGGACACATGGCTAGATTCCATTTTTCAGACTCTGTTACAGTGAGGTGTGGTCCTAAGACTGATTTCTAACCAGGGAAATGTGGGTTGAAGTGATATATGGACACTTTCAAACTTGGCCTATAAAGAATTGAAGATTCGATTCACTATGCTCTTCTCCTTCTGTCTGCGGGGTTTGGACTCCCAGGGTGACCTTGGACATAACTGGTGAAGACAGCAGAGTGTGCCTCACTCTGGGGCTGTGACTGATGGTATAGAGTAGAGCACTGTCACACTTCCATCTTTCCAAGTCAAGTTAATTTAGATCTGTCTCAGATGTTTTGGATTTTTTAATTGAGAAAGAAATATACTTGCATTGTGTTTGGAACTGTCAAATACTTAGGGGACTATTAGTTACCTTGGTGTGACTATTTTTAAAGTTTTTTAAAAGTTCTCTACTACAATACAGGACACTATATATGACCAACAAGGACCTACATTATCACTAATTTTGCTGTTCCTTCAAACTTAACTCCCACCACCCCTCTGTGCACAGTGTATTATATATCTATACCAAATCATTTCACTGACATGATGGAGCACATGTCATTTCCCTTTATAGGTTTTCCCTGTATCTACAATGTCCCTGAACTTTTGAACTTTTGATTATTTAAAACAACAATTTTATTTTGCTTACAATTTCAAGGGTCTGAGGTTTGTGAAGAGATTGACAGTTTATCTTTCATCCTTGAAGAAATCTTCTGGGGTGGCAGGTTGCTGCTGGATCCTCTTCCAGGATGGCTGCTTCATTTGCATTTCTGAGCCTCAGAACTCCTTGGTCCATGTCTGTCTGCCTGTCTCTTTTTCTTTTTCTCTCTTTATGTGGTGTCTGATCCTCTAGCGAAGGTCCACAGAGATGCTTCTCACATCATGGTAGTCTCGGGATCATGGCACTTCTTCATGGCAGCTGGATTTGTGAAGTACCCAAAAGCACATGTTCCAAAAAGTCTGAGTAAAATTTACAAAGCTTGATATGGTGGAGCCTCAAATTCCCAAGATGTCACTTTTTATATATCTTATTAGACAAGCAAGTTATAAGACAAGCATAGTTTCAAAGGAAAGGAAATTAGACTCTATCTCTCGGTAAAGGAGTAGCAAAGAATTTATAGCCACAATAAAAACTGGATATACTAGGTATGCTATGGGTCTGAATGTTTGTGTCCCTCCAAAATTTATATGTTGTAATTCTCATCCCCAAGCTGACGGTATTAGAAAGTGAGACTTTTGGGAGGTGATTAGGTCATGAAGACAGAGCCCTCATGATGAGATTACTGCCACTGTGAAATAGGCCCCAGAGAGCTACCTTGCCCCTTCCACCATATGAGGAAACAGTAAAAAGACAGCCATCTATAAACCAGGAAATGGGGCTTTCTTCAGATCCTGAATCTGCTGGTTCTTCCTCTTGGACTTCTCAGCCTCAAGAACTGTGAAAAATAAATATCTGTTGTTTCTAAGCCACCTAATCTAAGGTATTTTGTTACAGAAGCCTGAACAGACTAAAATAAGGTATATTCTAACTAAGTTATCACAATCTGAGAAATGAATATATCCATAACTAAAAATAAAATCTCAAAAAATTTTCATTATAAAGTTAAAAAATTAAACACTCATGTGTCCAAGGTATAACCCTAGTCAGGCAAACTAAATAATCTGTGGGTTTTGGGAGTCAAAATCTGAAAGTGGATATATATGTGTATTAGTCTGCTTTCATGCTGCTGATAAAGACATACTTGAGACTGGGAAGAAAAAGAGGTTTAATGGACTTACAGTTCTACACGGCTGAGGAGGCATCACAATCATGGTGGAATTCAAGGAGGAGCAAAATTACATCTTACATGGATGGCAGCAGGCAAAAAGAGAGAGGTTGTGCAGGGGTACTCCTCTTTATAAAACCATCAGATCTCATGAGACTTATTTGCTATCATGAGAACAGCACCAGAAAGACCTGCCCCAATTCAATTACCTCCCACTGGGTTTCTCCCACGACACACGGAAATTGTGGGAGCTACAAGTCAAGATGAGATTTGGGTGGGGACAGAGCCAAGCCATATCAATATGTAAGTGAATCATAGTTACATTTAATGTACAAAGACAGTACATAATTTTATCTGAAATGAATTTAGTAAAAGACTAAAGTGAAAATATTCACAGAACAAAAAATTGATTTTAACGTTAGCTAGTAAGTCTAGGTCCTTAAGAAAATAGATAGCTTTTTAAAACATGGAAAAGACAGAAATACCATTCAACCCAGCAATCCCATTACTGGGTATATACCCAAAGGAATATAAATCATTCGACTATAAAGACACGTGCTTACATGTTGTTCATTGCAGCACCATTCACAATAGCAAAGACATGGAATCAACCTAAATGCCCATCAATAATAGACTAGATAAAGAAAATGTGGTACATATACACCATGGAATACTATGCAGCCATAAAAAATGAGATCATGTCCTTTGCAGGGACATGGATGCAGCTGGAGGCCATTATCCTTAGCAAACTAACACTGGAACAGAAAACCAGCACAGCATGTTCTCACTAATAAGTGGGAGTTATGTGACGAGAACATATGGACACATAGAGGGAAAAACACAGTGGGGATTTTTGGAGAGTGGAGGGTGGGAGGAGGGAGAAGATCAGGAAAAATAACTAATGGGTACTAGGCTTAATACCTGGGTAATGAGATAATCTGTACAACAAACCCTCATGACACAATATTACCTAAGTAACAAAGCTTGACTTATACCCCTAAACTTAAGATAAAATTAATAAAAGAAAGAAGTTGGCCACACTATGAATAAAAATAATAAAATAAATAAAATAAAAACATGGAAACCACAGAAGAATAAATGTGTGTATAAGAAATGTCCACTTTTGTTGTATTGGTAAAAACTAAAATTTTTCTGACTTAGTATTCTGCAGACAGGTATAATGATACAATTACAGCTTGCTCTGATATAATAATTACTAGTATTATAAAGAAAACAAAGACAACATAAAAGGGATAATTTTTATTTAGGAATTATGTACATGTCAGTTTATATTATGACTATTTGGGAGACACAAAAAACTTGACTGTGTAGGGAGGTATCAACTGAAAAGAACTGATGTCATTGTCAACTATCGGCATGGGGTCACTTCTAGAATAATAAATGAATTAGGTTTCTGGAATAGCAAAGTAGAGGAATTCCTTGTTTTTCTATAATTTGATACTAACAGTTCTCTGATTATAAGACAGGATGTGTTCCATAACTATTTCAGGAATGATATTTAGGTATTTTTTTTTTTTACCATGTGAAAGCAGTTTGAGACTAAGATTACTAAAGTAGGCGTAGTGTTCATCAGTGATAGCAACAGCTGCAAATGCAATGAAATGATGTAGAAAAAGTCTCTGAAGCAAGCTAGGTTTGAGCAGCCATGAGTAATACTCAAAATGAATATCTGTCTTAGTTCAGTTGCAGGAAACAGCAGTCGCTCTAGGTCACTCTAGCTATTTTAGGAGAAAAGGATTTAAAAGAGGAAGTTGTTGTGAGGACTGTAGACTGAACATTCAGGAATGAAGCCCTCAAAATACATTATTTAACTGGCCTGCCAGAAGAACATCTACCTCTGTCACAATGGGAATGGAGGGGGCATTGGGAGACTGCTCCTTAGACAGTCAGACTCAGGTACATACCGCTGCAGCAGTGACCCAGGGACCAAGGAACTGCCACCAGTGTACTTACCTCTTAACAACCCCAAAGCTAGTGAATGGAGCATGGCCCTGGGAAAACATTCCACACATCCATGGCCAGTTTGCCAGCAGCAACAGCAGAAGCAACCTACTTCTTCCCTCTCTTGGGAATGTATTTAATTGGCAGATTAATTTGCATCCATGACTCTGGCTATCAGATAGACTGTGAAAAGTATTCAGTTTTCCAGGCTGTTGCAGTTCAGATAGGCAATTAGAGGAGGCTGCAATGGCTGATGGTTGCCACTTCAATTCAACCACTACAAGGTGGTCCTGAGCTCCTAGGAGTGAGCCTCCTGGAGTCACACTTTATGTGGAAGAAAGGCACTGTCCTCTGCCCAAGACTGTATTGTGGTCACCAGCAATTATCACACAAGAAGCCAACTCTCTGGGCCAGGCAGCTGTAGGAAGAGAAGCCCCATAGTAAGGATGCAAATGCTGGAGAATAGAAGGACTGAGGAAATTCTTTCCAGGGATAGCTGGAAAACACACCTGGGTTAGTTTTCTTTAATTAGGTTACTGTAAGTCTTTTTCTCTGATAGCTTGTTTATGTAAGGGAAATACAATTTGATTTTGTTGTCATACATTGGTGAGGCCAGGGATGTGGGATTGAGTACAGTTCCTACACTTACAAAAACATTCAAAAGCAAACTTTGAACTCAAACTTTCACAACTCCCAAGCAAGATGGCAATAGAACCTATTCTACTCTATCTAAAGCCACGGCCAAAACAAGGCCATAAAATGTATGCTCAGAAGCATTTTAAAACTTATTTCCAAATATTAAGGACATTATGTATCTTTATTGAAAGGATAATAAACTTTCTTTTTGTTGTTTTATAAAAACAAATTGTATGTCAAGCCAATATTGAAATAAAATGGCACAGTTTTTCTGACTTATGAGAACACACAACACCTAGTTTTTAAACTGGGCAACACCGGATTACCTTTTAAGGGTAGCATTTGGAGTAAATTAAAACAGATGATGAAGCTGCACTGGGATTGATCTCATTGGTACTGGCTGAATGAATCACAGCTACAACCAAACGTATGAGCCTACAGATTGCACTGCTTTGTGTTAGGATTAAAAACAAAAACAAATTGATAAATAAATATGTTATTGAAATAAGAATGTACTCTTACTCTAGCTATGTTATGAGTCATTCTTTCCAGGAGAAAACTCTTGCTTAAAAGGACTCTAATTATCTTCAACTGTGTCATTCTATTTAGTATGAATGCAGCCTTAAAATGAATAAATTATTAACATTGGTAAAATAGCGTACATAAATGAGAATTATTATCAGTGAACTAGGGATTGTTTTTACAAAAATAAAGGTAATTATTTAAAACCTATAAAACTAACGTTCAGATTCTAGCCTCGTAAGTTCTGTCAAGTTCTTACTAACACTACCCTTCACATAGTCTCCCCCTAGTTTCCATCACATCTTATGTATTCCTCTATTGCAGTATGAAGTGCCTTGAATTTTACAGCCAATATTTCTGCCTATAATTGTGTTGGAGACAAAAAGTTGACATACCAATAGGAAATTTATATAAGATATCAACAGTGGTGTACAATATAATCTATTTGACGGATTTAGGATTCAGTATAACACTTAATAATCCAGAGAAAGGAGAAGAAGTATCAGATATGTTTGCAGATAAGTGATAAAATCTTTCCTGAATAAAGAGATCGAACTAAAGTTACCATCTGACTGGATATTTCTCAAATTTTTGCATTAGTGAATATTTGTTAGGCACCCACTGGGTAAATATTTGTTAGGCACCCACTGGGGAAGATAACACTTTTGGTTCCGTAACCAGTGCCAAAATATGAGATAAAAACAATGGTTCTCAACTTACAGGTGGTAACCTTCTAGAATTCACAGGGATAAAAATAGGAAAGGAAATGGAAATGTAGGTATTCTTGAAATACTGTTGCTTTGTTTGTTTTTAGTAAATACTTGCCTCATGAATTATGTATTGTGCATGAGTAATATCTAGAAGAATACTAAGGTTATTACCAAACACAAACAACTCTTATCCTGACCCCTAAGAAAAAAAAGCATTAGTCCCGGGTTAAAAAGCAGATACCTGAAAAGCAAATAATAGGCTACAAAACATGAGGTAGGACACAGAGTGGAAAAAGGGCTGGATATAAATAATACCAAAATTACCAAACTGGGTCATAAGAAATTAATTTCATTATATAAATTAAATATTTTTTTCTTTTTCTTTTTTTTTGAGATGCAGTCTCGCTCTGTCGCCCAGGCTGGAGTACAATGGCTCGATCTTGGCTCACTGCAACCTCCGCCTCTTGGGTTCAAGCTATTCTCATGTCTCAGTCTCCCAAGGAGGTGGGATTACACGCACCTGCCACTACGCCCCGCTAATTTTTGTATTTTTAGTAGAGATGGGGTTTCGCCATTTTGGTCAGGTTGGGCTTAAACTCCTCACCTCAGGGAGTCTCCCCGCCTTGGCCTCTGAAAGTGCTGGATTACAGGCATGGGCCACCACACCCGGCCTGAATTAAATATTTTTAATTTGAATTTTAGATGCTTGACTCAAGTTAAGGTTATTATAAATTGACACAGACTAAATTTTAGTGTGATTATTCTTCACTTCCTCTTCCTTCTTAACTCCTGAAATAACTTATAAGCCATATTGAGGAACAACCAACACAATTAACTTATAAAAACTGCATATTAAATTAAATAAATAACATGATATTATTTTTTCTCTGGGTACTTGCTTTGATGCAGTTACTTCCCTCTTAATTTGGTATCACAGATTATTCTTTTTTTTGTTTTTTTGTAACTCATCCACTTTATCTTATTTATTTATTTTTTTTCACTTTCTCTTTCTTTATTTTTTAATATTATACTTTAAGTTTTAGGGTACATGTGCACATTGTGCAGGTTAGTTACATATGTATACATGTGCCATGCTGGTGCGCTGCACCCACTAACTCGTCATCTAGCATTAGGTATATCTCCCAATGCTATCCCTCCCCTCTCCCCCCACCCCACAACAGTCCCAAGAGTGTGATATTCCCCTTCCTCTGTTCATGTAATCTCATTGTTCAATTCCCACCTATGAGTGAGAATATGCGGTGTTTGGTTTTTTGTTCTTGTGATAGTTTACTGAGAATGATGATTTCCAATTTCATCCATGTCCCTACTAAGGACATGAACTCATCGTTTTCCATGGCTGCATAGTATTCTATGGTGTATATGTGCCACATTTTCTTAATCCAGTCTATCATTGTTGGACATTTGGGTTGGTTCCAAGTCTATGCTATTGTGAATAATGCTGCAATAAACATACATGTGCATGTGTCTTTATAGCAGCATGATTTATAGTCCTTTGGGTATATACCCAGTAATGGGATGTCTGGGTCAAATGGTATTTCTAGTTCTAGATCCCTGAGGAATCTCCACACTGACTTCCACAATGGTTGAACTAGTTTACAGTCCCACCAACAGTGTAAAAGTGTTCCTATTTCTCCACATCCTCTCCAGCACCTGTTGTTTCCTGACTTTTTAATGATTGCCATTCTAACTGGTGTGAGATGGTATCTCATTGTGGTTTTGATTTGAATTTCTCTGATGGCCAGTGATGATGAGCATTTTTTCATGTGTTTTTTGGCTGCATAAATGTCTTCTTTTGAGAAGTGTCTGTTCATGTCCTTCGCCCACTTTTTGATGGGGTTGTTTGTTTTTTTCTTGTAAATTTGTTGGAGTTCATTGTAGATTCTGGATATTAGCCCTTTGTCAGATGAGTAGGTTGCGAAAATTTTCTCCCATTTTGTAGGTTGCCTGTTCACTCTGATGGTAGTTTCTTTTGCTGTGCGGAAGCTCTTTAGTTTAATTAGATCCCATTTGTCAATTTTGGCTTTTGTTGCCATTGCTTTTGGTGTTTTAGACATGAAGTCCTTGCCCATGCCTATGTCCTGAATGGTAATGCCTAGGTTTTCTTCTAGGGTTTTTATGGTTTTAGTTCTAACATTTAAGTCTTTAATCCATCTTGAATTGATTTTTGTACAAGGTGTAAGGAAGGGATCCAGTTTCAGCTTTCTACATATGGCTAGCCAGTTTTCCCAGCACCATTTATTAAATAGGGAATCCTTTCCCCATTGCTTGTTTTTCTCAGGTTTGTCAAAGATCAGATAGTTGTAGATATGCGGCGTTATTTCTGAGGGCTCTGTACTGTTCCATTGATCTATATCTCTGTTTTGGTACCAGTACCATGCTGTTTTGGTTACTGTAGCCTTGTAGTATAGTTTGAAGTCAGGTAGTGTGATGCCTCCAGCTTTGTTCTTTTGGCTTAGGATTGACTTGGCGATGCGGGCTCTTTTTTGGTTCCATATGAACTTTAAAGTAGTTTTTTCCAGTTCTGTGAAGAAAGTCATTGGTAGCTTGATGGGGATGGCATTGAATCTTTAGCAGGCATTGAATCTTTAGGATGGCATTGAATCTAAAGTAATAGCAGGGTTTGAGAGGAATTTAGAATGCACAGTGAAGGAGGGAGAGGATGAGTACCACATGTTCTCTGTGGCCAACCCCAGTGATGAGAGTGATCATTCAACCAACTTCCCTCTTCTAGGTCTCTCCTCAGGAAGAAAAGCCCACTTAAAATATGGGGGAGCTCTTCTTGAAGAACTATTTGTGGAAGTAGATGTGTGGAGCTCTAGAATTGGACTGTGGCAGCCATTAAAATGCTTCATTCAGATCTCCTGCTGTGGAAGTGTAATTGACTGGTGGTCCTAGCTGCTGCCATTTCTTACCTACGGGGTGACCATTTATACTACATTTTGAGTAGCTGCTTTCACAGGGATACTAAAGCAGACCCACTCTTGCAAACCTAGAATGCCTTGAACAACATAGGCTCAGGGACTCCCCATTATCCCGCCAAAGGTGTCTTGCGTTGTACAGCCCTTCCTAGTCAATTCTCCTTCTTGCTCCTTTTTATTCTCAGAGGTCAGATGTGTAGTTTGGTCTGAAGGCTCTCCTTACCTTCTGTGGCTCCTTCTCCTTTCTCCTTCACAGGTATTTTCCCCAATAAATCTCCTGCATGTCTAATCTTTTATTAACAACTGTTTCTCAAAGGCTCAAACTAAAATGCTGTTTTTCTACAGTGTGGATCACAAACTGGAGGGGCAGTAAATGGATCAAATAGGCAAACCTCAAAGTTTTTAGAAAAAACTTGAAAAGTTTCAGAATTTTTGAAACCTAACATTATTTGTCAACTATATATACTGTAATAAAACTTTTTACTTCTCCATTTTCTGCAAAAAATATAATTAAGAGATCTCTATCATAATTATATATGAATCACCAAAATATAAAATTGGACATTTGATTTAAACATTGTTAATTAAGTGCCTCATTTGCAAAATTATAAATTTTGTTCCTTTCATATTTCAATTGTTTTCATTAATAAGAAATGCCTTAATTTTCTATTCTTCTCCAGTGTCCTTAAAATATTATGAATCTGTTAAATGCTGTGGTTAATAATTCAATTTATTTCTGTTTATGGCTTAAATTGTTTTTTTTAATAAAAGATTGCACACATGAACCTGCAACACGAAAATAGTGGCGTAAACGCTCACATTCCATGCTTTAAAGTGGATAGAAACAACACTAATATCCATCAAGAGTAAAACTGATAAATCAGTAAATATCCACACAATAAGAAAATAATAATGACAGTGAATAAACACCTGCTAATACGCAATAACATGGATAAATCACAAACATAATATTGAGTGAAAGAAGGCATATGCAAAAGAATACATAAGAATTCAAAAGAAGCAAGAGGATAAAAATTCAAAGAAGCAAATGTTAGGCTTCATGACAGAAGTGAAGATAGTGGCCCTATGTTGGGAGATGGGAAGGTGAAGTGATCAGGAAGGAGCCTGAAAGGGGCTCCTAGGGTATGATTGATGTTCTGATTCTTCACTTGTGATGCTGTATAGGCATGTAGCTATTGGGACTATTCTTTTGTGATTTGTATACTTTTCTGTGTATATGATATGTTTGGATAAAAATGTTTAAAAATAAAGGTTAGCATTGAGATTGTGAGTTATACTTATACACCGCAAGTCCTTACGCATGTGAACTGACAGGATTGGTGTGTCATGCAAACGTGTTCAGTTCCCTAGTAAAGAGGATACGTGTATTTCCCTAAGGTTAACTAATTGCCATATAATATGAAGATCATCTTAGATGCTTTCAGAGGCCTTGCTTTGCTACTGGGACAAAGTTAAAACTCCATTATATGCTACAAGTCCTACATTATCTAGTGGCCCAGTCATTCTGGCATTCTTTCCCATTTTGCTTCATACTCTGGATAAACTTGGACTCTTTATGCCCCTTGCACACTACAACATATTGACATCTGCTGTTCCACCTGTCTGCGATGCTCTTCCTCCTCCATCTTAGTTAATTCTCACTCAGCATTTTGATTTCCACAAGGAAGGCTTTCCTGATTTTCTAACTAGTGTAAGTCTCCATAAAACTCTTGTGTTTCAGTGTTTTGCTTCATAGGACTTGTTACAGTTAAGGTTTTTCATATAACTTGTGATTGTTTGCTTAAGTCCTGTCCAAGTTTGTATATTGTAACACTTGTGAGAATAGCCACCATGTCTGTTTTTGTTTGCTTGTTCATATTACTTTTTCATAGTTTGACTCACAAGCAGTTGTTAACGTAACTACAGAGTTTCCCTGTACCCTTCATGCAGCTTTCTTCAATTACAGAAGCTTAGATAACCATAATACATTGTCATAAACAGAAAACTAATATTGGTACAATATTATTAACCTAAATAAAATGCATGACTTTTAAAATTATCACTGTACATCATTAATTTCTTGTATAGTGCCTTATACATAATTGGCTCCACACAAATATTTTTAAATCAGTTTTGGCTAGATGAGAATATGGAAAAATCCTAACCTAAATTTCCTCACCTATGAGAGCATAAGACTCCCTTACAAAACACCTTCACTTCCAGATTCCATGACTCATAAGATAGTGCCACTATCTTCCCTGAAAGTAATGTCTATTTATATTTTTCCAAAATTCTGATGTTTTCTTAATTTCTCTGCTCAATTTTTCCTAATGCCAATTCTCTGAAGTCAGAGTTAAAATATTGGATTTCAAGAAACTTCTACACTAAAGAAACAAAGAGCATTCATTAACATTCTATTGTATAGAGTTAAGTAGCTCTGTAGGTGAGGTGGAATTATTCCCAGAAAAAGGAAATATTTGAAAGATCTCATTATATGAAAAAAAAATCATATGAGGCAATTTAATTCTAAATTTACTTGAGACACGGAACAGACCTGGGCACCATTAGATGGTGTTATAGGAATGTAGAGAAGACTTTCATCTTTCACCTTGATCCCCTAATATTATTTTTCTCCACATTGCTTACCTATAACATCCATTGATGCCCCAGCCTGCTCTGTTTTCCAAGAAAACTCAGAATTAAATAATCCAGATTTAAATGTTTGATGGTTGTTTAGTCATGACCACTAAACTCTGGATTGATACTTGTATATACTTATTACCAGTAAGACCATGTACCTAATTGCCCAAGGAACACATTTTAGGGTTTATTTTATTATATTCACATTTATGCATCAGCACCACCAATTCCCTAAGCCTTCCCCTACCAAGTCCAACCTCCAAATAAACATCTTCTTAATAGATGAGTTTAAAGAACAGAAGTATTAGATACCTTCTTACTTCCTCTTCTTTATTTTCACCCGTTCTTACCTAGATATATCTAAATACCAATCTGCAGTTTGAGTAGGCTTTTCTAAGCCCTGACTTTTCCAATCTTCTCTAAGGGAATACAACCTAGCCCTATGCCCTAACTCAGGGTTGAAGGCTAGCAGTAATATCTAGTTCTACTTGATGAATTCCTGTGCATTAACTATTGTAGGGATTCTCTAGTTCTACCCTCCTTCATAATATTAAATTGTCTTGTCTTGAACAAGCCTGGAATTAAGATTGAGATAGTTTTGCCTCTTTATAGATGGTGTTCAGCCTATGAAGCTTCTCTGAAAGCAGTTTTTGAAGGGAATTCATTCCCTGTCTCTCTACCATCATGATGTGCAAGTCTGGAGTCACATAATTCTGTCATAGACTCTCTACACCTGTTCAGTTTGTTCCTACTTTATAATCATAAATGATGAAAATAAGAAACTTAATAAATTTTTTTTCTAAAATGAAAAAAATGCTATTTCTTGTTTTCCATTAAGAAAATATCAATTTCTCCCAAGTGCTAAATATAAATAGCGATTTCAATAGCTGGGAGAGAGAAAAGTATATTCACTGCTAAATTCTATTTAATTACCTTTTTGTATTTCACAGCATGAATATATTCATCACTGACTGTTTACAAGTGACTGAAGTAATTATCAGGAAAAATTATTTCATTTTGATTACTAGAAAAGCCTCTTTTAAGTTATTAAAATCTTCAGGCAAATGCAAAACCTATAATTATGCATTTGAAAGCAAGGCAGCATTTCACAGCCATTAAAACACCTCTTTCCTGAAGGAAGGAAGGCAATGTTACTGTTATTTACGTTGTAAAGCACGGTCCAAAGACAGGACCCAGAGAGCTTCAAGAATTAAATACTCACCAAAGGATATTAGCATGTGCCATCAGAGTGTAGTCTAAATGGTTGATCCAGAGTCCCACATGCCTGATTGAATTAAACTACATTCAGTTATTAAAAAGGTAAAACATTCCAAATTATCCATGCCAAAGAGATATCAAAATGGAATAATTTAAATCAATTCTTTCTGAAGTTAAGTCAGGAGACCAGAAGGCATTCAATATGTGAAATATTCTAAGAATTACACATTATATTTACTTTTAACACAGAGTAACGGAAGTGCAAATAAGGTTTAAGTACGTATAACCTAATTTTAGTTTAAAAAATTGTGTGTACTCTTCCTGATAGTGGCCATTCTTGTATTATTATCTAAGTGAAAGCAATATAAAAAGATTTTTTCCATGTCCTGATTTAATGGCCATAATCTAAATACAATCTTCACGATGAGTATAATTCTACTACATTTTATTTCTTGTTGAAATTTTAGCAGCTACCCCCAAAAAAATATATATTTTAGCCATTGTAGCATATGAAAAGCCAGTGGAAACTTTATTGCATAGACATAAACATTTTGACCAGAGAGGATGTTTTCATCTTTTTATACATATACCTGGAATCTGCTTAATTTTTCTGATCTATACTGGCCCATTTACTTGTGTTTTCTTATTAAAAATCCCTTTGAAGAATCACATATAGGCCGGACTCAGTGGTTCACGCCTGTAATCCCAGCACTTTGAGAGGCCAAGGCGGGCGGATCCTGAGGTCAGGAGATCGAGACCATCCTGGCTAATACGGTGAAATCCCATCTCTACTAAAAATACAAAAAAAAAAAAAAAAAAAAAAAAAAAAAAGCCGGGCGTGGTGGCGGGCGCCTGTAGTCCCAGTTACTTGGAAGCTGAGACAGGAGAATGGCGTGAACCCGGGAGGCGGAGCTTGCAGTGAGCCAAGATCGCGCCACTGCACTCCAGCCTAGGCAACAGAGCAAGACTCCGTCTCAAAAAAAAAAAAAAAAAAACACATATAATGTAGCATAAGATACTAAAACAAAACAAAAGAAAACAAAAGAAAACAAAACGAAACATGGTATTAACAGCAGGCACTAGGCAATAGCGTTTGAGTTACTTTGCCTGATTCACAGCGGTGCAAGGGGCTGCTGCATAAACCTTTCCAGGACTGAGAAAAGAGGTCAGAGACAATTGGTAACTAAAAGTAGAATCTATAAAGAGTTTGGTAATGATCTAATTCTATACTGAAGATGTGAAAAAATATGTAAACAGCTAAACCATATAAATTAGGGGGAAAAAAACTATGTTTTCAGAATCAAAAGCATTTGAATCTTGCTCCTTGTAAGTGGCACTATAATGAGCAAGATGACAGTTTTTATTTTATAATGAGAAGTTAGGTGTTTGTAATTTGAAATCTATGAGATAAAAAGGATGTTTTTTTATTAGAAAACCTTACTGAATAAGTTTCAATTATGTGTAAGAAAAAAATATGAAAATATTCTTCTCATTTCTTCTCCACAGGATATTTTATTGAGTCATGATCTGTAATAACAAGTTAATAGTAAGTTAATAACAGTTTTACGTGAGCTAATTGGGAATCTTTCTTATTTAAAATAATATTGGTAAAATAGAAATTGGTTATAGAATCTACTAACACAGAATAACATAGAAATAGTCAAACATAAAGAAATTGTGACATGATAAGCACATACACAGAGTAATATGTGGACATACACATTACTCTGAGTTAAAAAGACAGCCTGAGAGAGCTGTTACATAAGAATGCAATAGTTTTGATAAAACAAATCAATATCTCAATGCCATGTTTGTTACATGAGAAGATGTGTAATGTTACAATCTCTAGGAATGTATAAAGTGAGTGTTTGAGTCAATTTTTAATTGCTATTAGCTAAGTTATTTCTGAACATATTAGCCTTATAGGTTAGCAAAGTGAATGTCAATTCTTGGATTCATGAAGTTGAAAGCACAAGGACTTCGGTCAGATATTTAAAACCTAGCTCCACTGCAGCCGAGTTGTGTGACCATGGAGAAAATACTGTATTTTCCTGTGCCTGCATTGCCTTATCTACAAAGTTTCTTTCAAAAATTGTTTTAAGAATTAGGTAAAATAATGTTTGAAAGGGTTCATTATTTATATCTCTGTTACCTCCTGTATTGTGAATAATGATATATAATTAAAAAGTGTTTGTGTTTTTGAGAGCATATATAAGGACTTAAAAGTATTGGAATGTTTATCAATCAAGAAGCTTGTTTTGGGAGTTAAAACAAGATTTGCTTAAGTTTTAGTCTTAAAACTCAGAGTTGCTGAGGAAGAAGTACTAAACATCATTATGGTTAACTCTACTGACTAAATTTATTTCCTCAACACTTTTCTTTAACGGCATACATGCATTTTTTTCTGATTTTCCAAGGCTACTGGGCAATGAAGGAACTGTAGCTGTGCCTGGGGCAGCATTGGAAGAAGAGGTTGAGAGTTGGGTTTTGAGCCTGTTGGTTCTCAAGCAGCTTGAAGATGTTCAAGTCAAGATGTCAGATAGACAGTTATGTATGTGGATCCACATCTCAGAAAAAAAGATTTGGATTGATGAGCTGAACTTGGAAATCATTACCATATGGTTACAATTACAACCACAATTACAGATAAGTTGCCTATAAAGAAGAGTATGCAGAGAAGAGAAGAGAAAATTGATCAATATTCATTCTTGTCAGACCCACAATCTAGGGGAAAATAGAGCAGAGGACATGCAGTGGAGTCTGGACTGAGAAAGAGTAACAGGAAAAAATGAGGGCAATCAGGAGAGAACAGGGTCAAAGACCCCACCACTACATAAAGACATCTGAAACTAAAGTTATTGTGGACCTCAGGCATCCTCTTTTACAAGTTAATAAAAACATATCTCCTACACAATCCTTGATTTCATTCCCTGGTGCTGCAGTCCACAAGCTAAATTTCTTCCTCAGAGTGCTTTCAACTGGTTGGAAGAGACCCCCGCCAATTTATTAAGGGTAATCTTTATTTAAAGTCAACTGATGATTGAGGAGGGGCTTCAAGATGACCAACTAGAGGAATCTGGTGCTCCTTTTATCTAAAAAGGAGAAACAAAATAGTGATGAGATAATCATATTTCAAATAGATTAGATAGATATAACACTGGAATTCAACAGAGGAGTGACAGGAAACACCTAATGCAAAGAAGATGAGGGAAGTGAGGCAGCCTGCTTGGCCTGAATTGGCTGGGAAACTGGAGATGCTCCCCAGTGTGGGGAAAAGGTAAGTGAGACATCCCCAGTTGCCCACAATCCTATTGCAGACTCCTGCAGTCTTAGCCACAAGACAACCCCTTGACCCTTTTGGGCCCTGAGATTAACAGAGAGAGCTACCTGGAGTCCACATGAAGGCATTGCCCCAAAGAAGATCATGATGGGTCCCCACATATTCCAAGTCCTAAGCAGCTACAGCAAGGTGCCATATTGAAAGCCCAGCCCCGACCAGACTGCATCTTGCCTGGGGCCCCACAGTCCATATATCTTCACATCTCTGGAGCCCTATTGACATTTCCCACCTGCAGTTACCACCACTGCTGGTTGCTGTGGCCAAGCCCAACATATGAGCCACTGGCTTTGATCCTGCCATTCCCAGCAGTGGACTGCCATGCATTACAAGCACCCTTGAGACAGGGTAGCTACCCTACCTGAAACTACCACCTGGGGCCAAAGCACATGCTCTCTGCCACCTGCCTAGAGACAAAGCCACTGAAAGTAACCCTGCCCTCCTAGCACTAGGGCCAAAACTCACCTCCTTCTGCCTTGAACATTCCAATGCAGGCCCGGGGATAACCAACCTATGCCTATCATGGCCAGCACCCACTAGTGGGACTGAGGACATGCCTGCACGTCCCAGCTCTGTAATCCCCAGTGTACAAGCATGCTGTCCATGGGCTGGGAAGGTTCTCAGCCCCATCCGCCACTATTGGCACCTGAGCGCTCCTCCTGGGGGCCTGAGATTGGGCCCACCCAACCTGCAGCTACCATTACATCATGCACCCACCCACAAGTGTCACATCTGGGCCTGGGGACTGGCCTTCTCAGACTGTTGCAGTCAACACCAACATCAGCAGAAACTGCCTGAGATCCAGAAGGTTGTTCCTCCACTACCACTGCCATCACCCATGCCACATCCACCACCTAGAGTCCCAAGAACCCACTCACCTGGTTGGCCCACCACCTCCATTGCTAGAACCAAGGAAGCTGTTCTAAAAATAATTCTTACTAGTTACTAGTGTAACAATTTCCTACTGACAGATTAAGACAATTCACATGAGTAACTAGCTGCAAAACACCAGAAATAAACTACCCCATTCCTCTCACATCCCTTGAAACTCAATACAAAAAGCAAAACAACTATATTTTAGACTCAACACTGCTTTCTGAAAAATCTCACCATGTAATAATTTTAATATATTATAGGAAAACAAAATAATCGTTTGTAGAATTTAAAATCATAAATTCCTATTAACAGTACCTATCATGTTCACTAATACACAGAGGTAATGTAGCCTAGTCGTTAAAAGGGTGAGATTACCCATGACTCCTCTGAGATATCATGATATAAATACTAACTGGATATTAAATTCTGTAGTGTTATTTCTTACTATCAGATATTGTGAAAAACAACGTAGGAACCAAAAGAGGATCTAAGGTATGTAATTACAATGCTATAGGCACACAAACATCTTGTCATAACCTTAACTATCAGGCCACTGGCAATGAAATGAATTTACAGTTTCTTTCTCAGTGTTTATTTTGCTTTCCCAAATATCTTCAACATCAGTAAAAAAAAAAATTCACCTTGAGGGTATGCTATTATTCCAGAACTGTACATAAAGGATATTACAGCATTTGTTCTTTTGTTCCCAACCACATAACACACCTCACCTTTATGACTGCAGGATAATAATGCAAGTCCCAGACAAGGAGCCTGATGCTTTTATAGGTGATTATATGGAAACCAGGTAATATCTAGCTATGTACTTTTTTACAGGACATTTTACATTCATTAGTCATGAAATTTCAGCATAATGTGATGTTATAGTATATTTCTGTGTTCCAAAATCTACTAGAAAGAAATTCAATAAAGTTTAGAAGACTACAAATGTAAAACTACATGATCAACACAATGATCTGTAAAACCTTTGTGTTTGGAGGGGATCGGCACTTGTAAGAATCAGATCAGTGACAATAAAGAAAGATTCTGTGTTGACTGCATCAGAGTCGTCAAAATGCAAAACAATAAAATTGCTTTAAGTGTTTAAGAATAGCCAGATCATAGTTCATAGTTTCAGAAAAAGTGAGTTATGTGTCTGAGCTTAGATGCTATGAGATATACTGCCAAATTTCAATACATATCTTTATACACTTATTACAAAAAATATATTTACAAAAGCATCCTCTCCAAGATTTATGGGACAGATAAATCAAAGCAATAGTTAATAGATTTTCAGGGAGAAAAGTACTGCAGTAAATAATTTTTACCTACATTCCAGGCTTGTGATAATCATTGTCATAATTTCTGGCATGCTCTAAATTCCGTATAATAATTCCATTTAAAGAAAAAGAGAATTCTTATGATTATAAGGAAATGTCCTAATCCCGATTTTTAAATGTAGACATTTGAAATTTTCTTTTGCCAATAATCCATGTAGTGTTTATTATATGTGAGAAGATATGAATAGCAGTTTAAAAAACGTGTTAGAAAAAAATAGCGATATAGCTGATAGAGTAATTTAAAACTCTGACATTTACATAGAGTTGGCACATTTCAGATCTATCCATATTTTTTTGGTACTTGTGAAATTTGTAAAGCCAGCTAAGAACTTTATTTTATAAGAAATATCTCACACTATAAGCTTATCTAGTGGTTGCTACACTCTCCAATCAGTGAGTTGTATTTTCCTTTTTTTCTCAGGGCATATTCCAATAAAATATATAATAAAACATATAGCCAAAAACTTTTAAATGCAAACTGAACTATTATAGCTTTTGACAAACGGAGAGCTATCCTTATTTTCATTATGACACTCTAAATAAAACTCTGAGGGTGATCACCAGAAAAAATAACAAGCTTTGAGATTGTTTCCCAGGGTGGAAAGTTGTCATAAGCACCCAGGTTAAGAACACAAACCCAGGTTAGGTGATGCCATGGGGGTGAACATTCCTGAGGATATATTCTTATTTAGGGGGCCTCTGATCTGCATGATCTCACCTTTGTAACTCTTAAAGACATCAGACGTAAATTTACCTATCAATTTATGAAGAGAAGCACCCTGACAAGATGCACAATGTTCTGGATCAAGGGTTAGAAGATCTATCTTCGGACTGGGCGCGGTGGCTCAGGCCTGTAATCTCAGCACTTTGGGAGGCCGAGGAGGGTGGATTGCCTGACGTCAACAGGGAGAAACCCCGTCTCTACTAAAAATACAAAAATTAGCTGGGTGTGGTAGCCCATGCCTGTAATCCCAGCTACTCAGGAGACTGAGGCAGGAGAATTGCTTGAACCCGGGAGGTGGAGGTTGCAGTGAGCTGAGATCATGCCACTGCTCTCCAGCCTGAGTGGCAGAGTGAAACTCCATCTCAAAACAACAGCAACAACAACAACAAAAGATCTAACTTCTTGTTTGAATTCTGCCATTGTGTAATTTTGGCATGACATTGTATATCAAATATAATCTGAATACTGTACAGTAGCTATAAAACAAGGAATTTGCCAAGATAATGTCTCTTCTATCTCTAATATTCTGTAATTTAAAACGTTAATGTATATTTAGCAGACTCTGATCATGCTTGGAATTGTGCCAGTTACCAGAGGTTAAAGAATGACAGTACTAAAGAAATAATGATATTGCCTTCAAGAAACTTAATTTAGCAAAGACATACTTGGAATAATTATGGACTGTCAGAGAAACATTGTAGAATGTTTCTAAATGTTTAGAAGTAGAATGTACAGAAATAAGTTAGTTAGACAATCGTTGCAAAAAGAGAAAAGAAAGAGAGGGAGAGAGACTCAAAGACCCTCTAGAATGGGTAAAATCCAAAAGACTGAGAGCACAAAATGCTGGCAAGGATGTACAACCACTAAAGTAATTTTACGTGGCTGAGAGAAGAATAAGGGAGATATTTTCGATAACTCTTTGGTTTTTCTTTAAAATAATTTTATAACAGTTCCTCTTGCTTGGAGTTCCAATTTACTTGAATAAATTCCATTCACTCAAAATAAATAAAAATATATGTCAAAAAAAGGGCTCATACAAAAATATTCATAGCTTTTATTTATTTATTTATTTACCTTTCTTTCTTCTTTCCTTTTTTTTTTTTTTTTTTTTAGACAGGGCCTTGGTCTGTCACCCAGGCTGGAGTGCAGTGGTGCAATCACTGCTCATTGCAGCTTCGGCCTCCCCACCTCAAGCACTCTTTCTACCTCAGCTTCCCAAGTAGCTAGGAAAACAGTTGTGTGTCACCTCTCCTGGTTAATATTTTTAAAAATTGTTTTATGGTAGAAATGAGGTCTCACCATGTTTCCTCGGCTGGTCTCAAAATCCTGGGCTCAAGCAATTCTCCCATCTTGGCCTCCCCATTACAGCTTTCTTATATTTTAAAATATAAATTTTTCTTCAACTTCTTTATCAATACATACAATACATATATTATATATCACATAATATACATAATATAATTATATATTATGTAATATATATTATAATATATATAATTTAAAAAGATATAGGCCGGACATAGTGACTCATGTCTGTAACCCCAGCACTTTGGGAGGCCAAGGCAGGTGGATGACTTGAGGTCATGGGTTCAAGACCAGCCTGGGCCAACATGACAAAACACTGTTTCTACTGAAAATATAAAAATTAGCTGGGCATGGTAGCATGTGCCTGTAATCCCAGCTACTCGGGACGCTGAGGCAGGAGAATTGCTTGGGCCTAGGAGGCAGAGGTTGCAGTGAGCTGAGACTGCACCACTGCACTCCCAACTGGGCAACAGAGCAAGACTCTGCCTCAAAAAATAAAAGATACATACATATATATATAATTTATTATAAATATCATAATATATAATATATAATGATATATATTCTTATAAGTATAAACTTATAAGAAAGTATATTATATGATTATAATATATAATATATAAAGATATAATATATAAAATACATATATCTTATGTTAATGAAATTTTTTATTTGTAGTATTTATATATTATATATATTTATATTAACAAAATTATATATATGTTATATGTAACAACTTATGCTTTATAATTATATGTAATTGTATAATTATAGTTATATATTATATAAAATATAATTAGTATATAAATATACTTATGTATAATATAAATATTATATCTTTATAATTATATTATATCATTATAAATATATATCATTATAATATAAATAATGTTACATTATATATTATACATTTTATTATATATTATATGTTTATATTCATTATATATTATACATTTATTATATATTATACATTTTATTATATATAATATAATTATATATAATAACTCATGACAAGATACTTTAAAGCAAGTAAGTTTAGGAATAACTTCCTTTTAATCCTTAAATATGAGGCAAAATATGAGCAATCAAATTAGCCTTTCATAGTATTATGAATTAACATTTGTGTTTTTCAATGAGCAATCAAATTAGCCTTTCATAGTATTATGAATTAACATTTGTGTTTTTCAGGTTGTGTGGAACTCATATCCAAATCTAGTAGGCTCAACCATAACTGACACCAACAATAGTTTTAAAAATGTGAAACTTCTTTGATTTAAACACTGCACCCCTGATAAACTCATGAAAACAATGAAATTGAGCCACTCCCTTTATAGAAGCACTGCAGCTGTGAGAAATATTTACTTTGTTCAAGCATTAATTATGGCTTTTCTATTAAATATTCCTTGAAATCATTAACAAAAAGAATAAGTTAGAGCTGGTGGGCCACCACACCCTGCTAATTTTATAATTATATATAAATATATATAATACATATATTTTAATCCTTAAATATGAGGCAAAATATGAGCAATCAAATTAACCTTTCATAGTATAACCAATTATCAATGTTAACATTTGTGTTTTTCAGGTTGTGCGGAACTCATATCCAAATCTAGTAGGTTCAACCATAACTGACACCAATAGTAGGTTTAAAAACATGAAATTTGTTTGATTTAAACAAACACTGAACCTCTGACAAACCCATGAAAACAATGAAATTGAGCCACTTCCTTTATAGGAGTACTGCAGCTGTGAGAAATATTTAGTCTGCTCAAGCATTAATTATGGCTTTTCTATTAAATATTCCTTGAAATCATTAACAAAAAGCATGAGTTAGATCAAGGACCTGCCAACATGGGCCGCAATCGCACCAAAAACCGTGAAGAAGGTGGCCCGGGTCATCATGTGGGTAGCAACTTCCACAGGAACAAGCGCGTGTGTAAGGAGATCGCCATTATCCCCAGCAAGAAGCTCCGCAACAAGAAAGCAGGTTTATTGTGGCACTATTCACAATAGCGAAGACTTGGAACCTACCCAAATGTCCAACAATGATAGACTGGATTAAGAAAATATGGCACATATACACCATGGAATACTATGCAGCCATAAAAAATGATGAGTTCATGTCCTTTGTAGGGACATGGATGAAGCTGGAAACCATCATTCTCAGCAAATTATCGCAAGGACAAAAAACCAAACACCGCATGTTCTCACTCATAGGTGGGAATTGAACAATGAGAACACATGGACACAGGAAGGGGAACATCACACACCAGGGCCTGTTGTGGGGTGGGGGTATGGGGGAGGGATAGCATTAGGAGATATACCTAATGCTAAATGATGAGGTAATGTGTGCAGCACACCAACATGGCACATGTATATATATGTAACAAACCTGCACATTGTGCACATGTACCCTAAAACTTAAAGTATAATTAAAAAAAAAAAAAGAAAGCAGGCTATGTCACACATCTCATGAGGCAGATTCAGAGGGGTCCGGTGAGATGTATCTCCATCAGGCTACAGGAGGAGGAGAGAGAAAGGAGAGATAATTAGGATCCTGTGGTCTCAGCCCTGGATCAGCAGATCACTGAAGTGGATCCTGACACTAAGGAAATGCTGAAGCTTTTGGAGTTAGGCAGTCTGTCCAAACTGCAGGTCACTCAGTCTATGTTAGGATTAATTTCAAAATGCCTCCTGGAGCTGGCTGAATCTTTCTGCAATGCTGTAACATTTTCAATAAACCTGGGGCAACACCAAAAAAAAAAAAAAATGAGTTAAACCAAGATATGTCAATGTAAATGAATTGTTCAAAAAATTATATATGAATAAATACATGAGGGAGCTCTCAGCATGCATTAGGAGGCCCATAGTTTGTACATGGCACACTCAGTGATACCAATGGTTTGGCATGATTAGGACCTAATTATACTGTAAATAGCTGCATTACTATCAGCTCTCTCTCTCTTCTCTTTTTCTTGCCTTCCATTTCCATCCCCAGTGAACTAATTCACTCAGGCCTTCCTGTGCTAAGAAGCTAGAATATTTTGTTTTTCTGTATTCAAACAACTAAAAACTGCACATAAAACTAAATCATATCAGCATGTGATTTTTTTGGCATATATACATGTAAGTTAATGCAAACAATTAGCACATAATATATTGCTGGACTAAAACTGTATCTTCCCTTAATGTGTGTATTGTGGGGCAGAGACCCCAGGACATTGACTACATTGTATTCCTCTAGGATATCCTTATTCCATATCATCTGAAAATAGTAATACTTTATTTCTAGTTTGCTGTAAACTAAATATACTTGCTCTTCCCAGCTTCCTTCTGTTACTAATAAGTGCTTACATAAGCCCTCTTGACACAATTACACAAGTTCTGCTTATTATGGTAAATCCAGTGAAAGCCCCCCCAGAGATCCTTCTCCCCTTTATCCCATGCATCGGTTAAGCAGTTTTATTTGTGTCCTCATTTTCCAGTAAAGCTTTCAGAGCCATCTCAGCTTGTTCTTTTCTAAACGCCTGAGTGTCATCTAAATGTCAAGTGTAATTTCAATGGCTTCAATGTGGGGATTCTTTATTTCTTCTTTTTCATACTGGGTTCAGCCCAGTCATTATTCATCCTTTTTTCTGCAACTAAAAACAAAATTGTTAGCACCATGTCTCAGGATGGCCCCATGACATTCTTCAATATAAATTTAGAAATAATTTTTATGAAATGCTGTATAATCAATAAAAGTAGTTTCAACTATTGAATAATAAGAGATAATAGCTAGGTAGTCTTAATTTTCATCCAAATTGACTGAGACACATATTTTTTATTTTCATGTTTCACTCATATCCTGGGAAAAATTAATGTCATTTTTTAAATGATCTGCTCTACACTGTCTGCGACAGTAATTCATACCAGATTAGACTTTCTGCTATAAACACTATAAAATGGAAAAAATATTTTAAAACAACTTTTTGCAGATACAAGATAACAGACATTTTAGAAACATGATTCTTGAGAGATGAGAAATAAGCAAATGATCCCTATGATCATCCCAACTCTGTGCCTTGAGGCACTTTCGACTCTGACACAGCAAGGGGTAATGCAAGAGTGTGAAAGTCTTAGTAAGCTGCAAGTAAATTAAATCAAGTACCTACCAAAACAAATTCAGCTATCTACAAGGAAAACAAAAAAATCTAGACCCTCAATATCGTAATATTCACTTCAACCTCCAATAATAAAAGACCTAGACATGAGAAGTAAAATGTGACCAAAAACTATGAGAAATTTGAATATATAGAAACAGACACAGAACTGAGAGGTGATGTAAGTAGCCAGCCAAGACTTTAAACATTATTATAAATGTGCATGAGAAACAAATAAAAAAACACACATAATGGGTAGATGAATGAAACATGTTAAAAAAACTAAATAGAAATTTTAAACCCCAAAAATGTAAGCTCTATATTAAAAAATATACTAGATGGACTTAATAGCAGATTCAATTCTCTAGATGAAAGCCTTGGTAAACTTGAAGACAGCAATAAAACTAACCAAACAGAATGACAGAGGAAAAACTGCTGAGAAAATGTATAACATAAACAGATTCCCATGATCTGTGAGAAAAGATTAGCAGTATAACATGCATGTGACTGAAGTCCTGGAAAGGAAAAAGGAAGTAAGAGAAGGGAAGACAAAATATTTAAAGAAATACGACTGAAAATGTTCCAAATTGTATGCCAATCATGAAGAAGCCCAACAAACTCCAAGCTATAGCATACAAAGAATACTACATCAAGACTCATTACAATCAAACTTCTGGGACCATTGACAAACAGATAATATAAAAATAACAATAGTAGGAAGAAAACACATTGCATAGAATGAAACTCAAAATAAATATTATCATTTACTTTGCATCAGAAAAAAGGCAAGCCATAAGAAACTAGAAGAGTACTTTTATAATTCTTTAAAAATGTAAAGCTGTTAACCTAGAGTTATTTTTTAATTTTATTATTATTATACTTTAAGTTTTAGGGTACATGTGCCCAACATGCAGGTTTGTTCCATATGTATACATGTGCCATGTTGGTGTGTTGCACCCATTAACTCGTCATTTAGCATTAATTAGGTATATCTCCTAATGCTCTCCCTCCCCACTCCCCGCACCCTACAGCAGTCCCTGATGTGTGATGTTCCCCTTCCTGTGTCCATGTGTTCTCACTGTTCAATTCCCACCTATGAGTGAGAATATGCAGTGTTCCATATGAACTTTTTGTTTTTGGTTCCATATGAATTTTAAAGTAGTTTTTTCCAATTCTCTGAAGAAAGGCATTGGTAGCTTGATGGGGATGGCATTGGATCTATAAATTACCTTGGGCAGTATGGCCATTTTCACGATATTGATTCTTCCTACCCATGAGCATGGCGTGTTCCTCCATTTGTTTGTATCCTGTTTTATTTCATTGAGCAGTGGTTTGTAGTTCTCCTTGAAGAGGTCCTTCACAACCCTTGTAAGTTGGATTCCTAGGTATTTTATTCTCTTTGAAGCAATTGTGAATGGGAGTTCACTCATGATTTGGCTCTCTGTTTGTCTGTTGTTGGTGTGTAAGAATGCTTGTGATTTTTGCACATTGATTTTGTATCCTGAGACTTTGCTGAAGTTGCTTATCAGCTTAAGCAGATTTTGGGCTGAGACGATGGGGTTTTCTAGATATAAAACCATGTCATCTGCAAACAGGAACAATTTGACTTTCTCTTTTCCTAATTGAATGCCTTTTATTTCCTTCTCCTGCCTGATTGCCCTGGCCAGAACTTCCAACACTAAGTTGATTAGGAGTGGTGAGAGAGGGCATCCCTGTCTGGTGCCAGTTTTCAAAGGGAATGCTTCCAGTTTTTGTGCATTCAGTATGATATTGGCTGTGGGTTTGTCATAGATAGCTCTTATTATTTTGAGATACATCGCATTAATACCGAATTTATTGAGAGTTTTTAGAATGAAGGGTTGTTGAATTTTGTCAAAGGCCTTTTCTGCATCTATTGATATAATCATGTAGTTTTTGTCTTTGGTTCTGTTTATATGATGGATTACGATTACTGATTTTCATATGTTGAACCAGCCTTGCATCCCAGGGATGAAGACCACTTGATCACGGTGGATAAGCTTTTTCATGTGCTGCAGGATTCGGTTTGTCAATATTTGTTTTTTTGAAAAGATCAACAAAATTGATAGACTGCTAGCAAGACTAATAAAGGAGAAAAGAGAGAAGAATCAAATAGACGCAATAAAAAATGACAAAGGGGATATCATCACCGATCCCACAGAAATACAAACTACCATCAGAGAATACTATAAACACCTATACGCAAATAAACTAGAAAATCTAGAAGAAATGGATAAATTCCTCGACACATACACCTTCCCAAGTCTTAACCAGGAAGAAGTTGAATCTCTGAATAGACCAATAACAGGCTCTGAAATTGAGGCAATAATTAAGAGCTTACCAACCAAAAAAAATCCAGGACTAGATGGATTCACAGCCGAATTCTACCAGAGGTACAAGAAGGAGCTGGTACCATTCCTTCTGAAACTATTCCAATCAATAGAAAAAGAGGGAATCCTCCCTAACTCATTTTATGAGGCCAGCATCATCCTGATACCAAAGCGTGGCAGAGACACAACCAAAAAAGAGAATTTTAGGCCAATATCCTTGATGAACATTGATGCAAAAATCCTCAATAACCTACAGTTGTATAACAAAACAAAAAAATAAAAAATAATAGTGAATATGAGATAATAGAGATATTTATTTGTTTCACTACAGTTACCATTTTACTATATATATACATACATATATATAAGATACACATATATATGTATCTCATAACACTATGTTGTATAACTTAAAAATTCACATATTTATTTAAATAAAAAAATTGAAAAATTTAAAAAGTGTAATAAAGACACAAGCAAAAGCTAAGACTTAATTTTAGGCAAAACTGTACTTACGGAAATGTTACATTCTTTAGACTGAAGGAAAATGATACCAAATGAAACTCATATATACACTAAGGGAGCACAAGAATGGTAACTATTTCCCTGCTAGATGATTGGTTAGCCTAAGGAAAGTAACAGAAACTGGTGAAAGGCAAACTAGAATAGGACCAAGAAAGATGCAATAAGACCACACAGGAACCCGAGAATTTACATGCAGGGTTAAGATGAGCTTTCATCATGCTAAATTATGTTATGGCCCAAATAAAACAACCTGAAACAAAAGTAATGACAAACTGCATATAAAACTAGTCGACAATATAAACAACTTACATACATGTAAATATCCTTGTTCCCAAAGATGACTTCTAAAGGTACTTACTTACCCAGCATAGTAAAATACAATCATAGATACATTAATCCCACAAATAAACTTCTGTGCCCATTGTGACATCTGATGGGACAGGCTGCTGTCAACGGTGAAGCACTGAAGGCAACGGAATATAATCTAACCCAATTATAACCATATAACAAATAAAACTATAACTGTATAACTATAACAATTGTATAACTATCTATATGACTCTCAGGGAGAGTCAGCTCTGATGGCACATCATTCTTATTTGGATGATACCCTAAATCCCTATCTCTCCCATCTGTGTGTGTGTGTGTGTGTGTTTTTTTCCTGGATAAAAACAACGTTTGAAAGAATCGAGTAGAATCAAGCCATAAATCAATATTGTAAAAATGGCCATACTGCCCAAAGCAATTTACAAGTTTCAGTGCTATTCCTTTTAGACTACCATTGAGATTCTTCACAGAACTAGAAAAAAACTATTTTAAAATTCATATGGAACCAAGAGCCCAAATAGCCAAGGCTATCCTAAGCAAAAAGAACAAAGCAGGGGGCATCATGCTACCCAATTTCAAACTATACTACAGAGCTACAGTAACCCAAACAACTGTACAACTTGTACAGTGGTACTCATACAAAAACAAACACATAGACCAATGGAACAAAATAGAGAACCCAGAAATAAAGCCACACACCTACAACTATCTGATCTTTGATAGACCTGACAAAAACAAGCAATGGGGAAAGGACACCCTATTCAATAAATGGTGCTGGGATAACTGGCTAGCCAAATGCAGAAGATTGAAAGTGGACCCTTTCCTTACACCATATACAAAAGTTAACTCAAGATGAAATAAAGAGTTATATATAAAACCCAAAGCTACTAAAAAAACCTGAAAAACAACCTAGAAAAGTTAACTCAAGATGGAATAAAGAGTTATATATAAAACCTAAAGCTATAAAAAACCCTGAAAAACAATACCATTCTGGACATAGGAATGGGCAAAGATTTCATGATGGAAATGCCAAAATCAATTGCAACAAAAGCAAAAATTGATAAATGGGATCTAATTAAACTAAAGAACTTCTGCAAAGCAAAAGAAACTATCAATAGAGTGAACAAACAACCTACAGAATGGGAAAAAAGAAGAGTTTTCAAACTATGCATCCAACAAAGCTCTAATATCCAGCATCTATAAGAAATTTAAACAAATTTACTAGAAAACAAACAACCCCATTAAAAAGTGGGTATAAAACATGAACACTTTTCAAAAGACATATATGTGGCCAAGAAGTATATGGAAAAAAAAGCTCCACATCACTGATCATTAAAGAAATGCAAATCAAAACCACAATGAGATACCATCTCACGCCAATCAGAATGACTAATATTAACATGTCAAAAAATGACAGATGCTGGCGAGGTTGCAGAGAAAAAGAAATGCTCACACACAGTTGGTGGGAGTGTAAATTAGTTCAACCATTGTGAAAGACAGTGTGGTGATTACTTGAAGACCTAAAAACAGAAACACCATTTGACCCAGTAATCTCATTACTGGGAATAGACCCAAAGGCATATAAATTACTGGGTATATACCCAAAGGCATATAAATCATTCTGCTATAAAGACACATGTACACATATGTTCATTGCAGCACTATTAGCAATAGCAAAAACAAAGAATCAACCTAAATGCCCATCAGTGATAGACTAGATAAAGAAAATATGGTACATATATACCATGGAGCCATAAAAAGAATGAGATCATGTCCTTTGCAGGAACGTGAATGGAGCTAGGGGCCATTATCCTTAGCAAACTAACACAGGAACAGAAAACCAAACACTGCATGTTCTCACTTATTATAAGTGGGAACTAAATGATGAGAACACATGGTTGCATAGAGGGGAAAAACACATTGAGGGCTTTTGGAGGGTTCAGGATGGGAGGAGCAAGAGGATCAGGAAAAATAACCAATGGGTACTAGCCTTAATACCTGAGTGATGAAATAATCTCTACAACAAACTCCCATGAGACAAGGTTACCTATACAACAAACCTGCACATGTATTCCTGAGCTTAAAAGTTAAAAAAGAAGAAATTAATTATCAACAAAATGCATCCCTGAGAGAAAATTCCTTGAAAATACTCTGCTCGGCTGGAGCCAAGAAGGCCATATAGGAAAAGCTCAGGTCTACAGCTCCCAGCATGAGCGACGCAGAAGACGGGTGATTTCTGCATTTCCATCTGAGGTACTGGGTTCATCTCACTAGGGAGTGCCAGACAGTGGGCGCAGGACAGTGGCTGCAGCGCACCATACATGAGCTGAAGCAGGGCGAGGCATTGCTTCACTCAGGAAGCGCAAGGGGTCAGGGAGCTCCCTTTCCTAGTCAAAGAAAGGGGTGACAGATGGCACCTGGAAAATCAGGTCACTCCCACCCCAATACTGTGCTTTTCCGACTGGCTTAAAAAACGGCGCACCAGGAGATTATATCCTGCACCTGGCTCAGAGGGTCCTATGCCCACGGAGTCTCACTTTCATATCCAGCCAAACTAAGCTTCATAAGTGAAGGAGAAATAAAATCCTTTACAGACAAGCAAATGCTGAGAGATTCTGTCACCAGCAGGCCTGCCCTAAAAGAGCTCCTGAAGGAAGCACTAAACATGGAAAGGAACAACCGGTACCAGCCACTGCAAAATCATGCCAAATTGTAAAGACCATCGAGGCTAGGAAGAAACTGCATCAACTAACGAGCAAAATAACCAGCTAACATCATAATGAGAGGATCAAATTCACACATAACAATATTAACTTTAAATGTAAGTGGACTAAATGCTCCAATTAAAAGACACAAACTGGCAAATTGGATAAAGAGTCAAGACCCATCAGTGTGCTGTATTCAGGAAACCCATCTCATGTGCACAGACACACATAGGCTCAAAATAAAAGGATGGAGGAAGATCTACCAAGCAAATGGAAAACAAAAAAAGGCAGGGGTTGCAATCCTAGTCTCTGATAAAACAGACTTTAAACCAACAAACATCAAAAGAGACAAAGAAGGCCATTACATAATGGTAAAGGGATCAATTCCACAAGAAGAGCTAACTATCCTAAATATATATGCACCCAATACAGGAGCACCCAGATTCATAAAGCAAGTCCTGAGTGACCTACAAAGAGACTTAGATTCCCACACAATAATAATGGGAGACTTTAACACCCCACTGTCAACATTAGACAGATCAATGAGACAGAAAGTTAACAAGGATACCCAGGGATTGAACTCAGCTCTGCACCAAGTGGACCTAATAGACATCTACAGTACTCTCCAACCCAAATCAACAAAATATACATTTTTTTCAGCACCACACCACACCTATTTCAAAATTGACCACATAGTTGGAAGTAAAGCTCTCCTCAGCAAATGTAAAAGATCAGAAATTATAACAAACTGTCTCTCAGACCACAGTGCAATCAAACTAGAACTCAGACTAAGAAACTCACTCAAAACTGCTCAACTACATGGAAACTGAACAACCTGCTCCTGAATGACTACTGGGTACATAACAAAATGAAGGCAAAAATAAAGACATTCTTTGAAACCAACAAGAACAAAGACACAACATACCAGAATCTCTGGGACACTTTCAAAGCAGTGTGTAGAGGGAAATTTATAGCACTAAATGCCCACAAGAGAAAACAGGAAAGATCCAAAATTGACACCCTAACATCACAATTAAAAGAACTAGAAAAGCAAGAGCAAACACATTCAAAAGCTAGCAGAAGGCAAGAAATAACTAAAATCAGAGCAGAACTGAAGGAAATAGAGACACAAAAAACCCTTCAAAAAATTAATGAATCCAGGATCTGGTTTTTTGAAAGGATCAACAAAATTGATAGACTGCTAGCAAGACTAATAAAGAAGAAAAGAGAGAAGAATGAAATAGATGCAATAAAAAATGATAAAGGGGATATCACCACCGATCCCACAGAAATACAAACTACCATCAGAGAATACTACAAACACCTCTACACAAATAAACTGGAAAATCTAGAAGAAATGGATGAATTCCTCAACACATACACCCTCCCAAGACTAAACCAGGAAGAAGTTGACTCTCTGAATAGACCAATAACAGGCTCTGAAATTGTGGCAATAATCAATAGCTTACCAACCAAAAAGAGTCCAGGACCAGATGTATTCATAGCCGAATTCTACCAGAGGTACAAGGAGGAGCTGGTACCATTCTTTCTGAAACTATTCCAATCAATAGAAAAAGAGGGAATCCTCCCTAACTCATTTTATGAGGCCAGCATCATCCTGATACCAAAGCCTGGCAGAGACACAACCACAAAAGGGAATTTTAGACCAATATCCTTGATGAACATTGATGCAAAAATCCTCAGTAAAATACTGGCAAACCGAATCCAGCAGCACATCAAAAAGCTTATCCACCATGATCAAGTGGGCTTCATCCCTGGGATGCAAGGCTGGTTCAATATATGCAAATCAATAAATGTAATCCAGCATATAAACAGAACCAAAGACAAAAACCACATGATTATATCAATAGATGCCGAAAAGGCCTTTGACAAAATTCAACAACACTTCATGCTAAAAACTCTCAATAAATTAGGTATTGATGGGATGTATCTCAAAATAATAAGAGCTATCTATGACAAACCCACAGCCAATATCATACTGAATGGATAAAAACTGGAAGCATTCCCTTTGAAAACTGGCACAAGACAGGGATGCCCTCTCTCACCACTCCTAATCAACATAGTGTTGGAAGTTCTGGCTGGGGCAATTAGGCAGGAGAAGGAAATAAAGGGTATTCAATTAGGAAAAGAGGAAGCCAAATTGCCCCTGTATGCAGATGACATGATTGTATATCTAGAAAATCCCGTTGTCTCAGCCCAAAATCTCCTTAAGCTGATAAGCAACTTCAGCAAAGTCTCAGGATACAAAATCAATGTATGAAAATCACAAGCATTCTTATACACCAATAGCAGACAAACAGAGAGCCAAATCATGAGTGAACTCCCATTCACAATTGCTTCAAAGAGAATAAAATACCTAGGAATCCAACTTACAAGGGACTTGAAGGACCTCTTCAAGGAGAACTACAAACCACTGCTCAATGAAATAAAAGAGGATACAAACAAATGGAAGAACATTCCATGCTCATGGGTAGGAAGAATCAATATCATGAAAATTGCCATACTTCCCAAGGTAATTTACAGATTCAATGCCATCCCCATCAAGCTACCAATGACTTTCTTCACAGAATTGGAAAAAACCACTTTGAAGTCCATATGGAACCAAAAAAGAGTCCGCATCGCCAAGTCAATCCTAAGCCAAAAGAACAAAGCTGGAAGCATCACATTACCTGACTTCAAACTATACTACAAGGCTACAGTAACCAAAACAGCATGGTACTGGTACCAAAACAGAGATATAGATCAATGGAACAGTACAGAGCCCTCAGAAATAACGCCGCACATCTACAAGTATCTGATCTTTGACAAAACTGAGAAAAACAAGCAATGGGGAAAGGATTCCCTATTTAATAAATGGTGCTGGGAAAACTGGCTAGCCATATCTAGAAAGCTGAAACTGGATCTCTTCCTTACACCTTATACAAAAATTAATTCAAGATGGATTAAAGACTTACATGTTAGACCTAAAACCATAAAAACCCTAGAAGAAAACCGAGGCAATACCATTCAGGACATAGGCATGGGCAAGGACTTCATGTCTAATACACCAAAAGCAATGGCAACAAAAGCCAAAATGGACAAATGGGATCTAAGTAAACTAAAGAGCTTCTGCACAGCAAAAGGAACTACCATCAGAGTGAACAGGCAACCTACAGAATGGGAGAGAATTTTCGCAACCTACTCTTCTGACAAAGGGCTAATATCCAGAATCTACAATGAACTCCAACAAATTTACAAGAAAAAAACAAACAACCCCATCAAAAAGTGGGCAAAGGATATGAACAGACACTTCTCAAAAGAAGACATTTATGCAGCCAAAAAACACATGAAGAAATGCTCACCATCACTGGCCATCAGAGAAATGCAAATCAAAACCACAATGAGATATCATCTCACACCAGTTAGAATGGCAATCATTAAAAAGTCAGGAAACAACAGGTGTTGGAGAGGATGTGGAGAAATAGGAACACTTTTACACTGTTGGTGGGACTGTAAACTAGTTCATCCCTTGTGGAAGTCAGTGTGGCGATTCCTCAGGGATCTAGAACTAGAAATACCATTTGACCCAGACATCCCATTACTGGGTATATACCCAAAGGACTATAAATCATGCTGCTATAAAGACACATGCACACGTATGTTTATTGTGGCACTATTCACAATAGCAAAGACTTGGAACCAACCCAAATGTCCAACAATGATAGACTGGATTAAGAAAATGTGGCACATATACACCATGGAATACTATGCAGCCATAAAAAATGATGAGTTCATGTCCTTAGTAGGGACATGGATGAAATTGGAAATCATCATTCTCAGTAAACTATCGCAAGAACAAAAAACCAAATACCACATATTCTCACTCATAGGTGGGAATTGAACAATGAGAACACATGGACACAGGAAGGGGAACATCACACTCTGAAGACTGTTGTGGGGTGGGGGGAGTGGAGAGGGATAGCATTAGGAGATATACCTAATGCTAAATGACGAGGTAATGGGTGCACCACACCAGCATGGCACCTGTATACATATGTAACTAACCTGCACATTGTGCACATGTACCCTAAAACTTAAAGTATAAAAAAATAAATAAATAAATAAAAAGAAACTACTCTGCTCAGGAAAACTGAAATAGGAAAATAGGAGGTGGTAAATTGTGCTGATTTCTTCTTTGTTATTCTACTAAATACATGTTTCTATTTTCTTTCTGAAGATTCTGGAATTGAGTGCTCAATATATTAAATATTATGGATGGGTTGTAGAAAATTAGAAAGAGCTAAAATATAGAATATTTGCAATGACCTCCAACCTCAATTTTGCTTATACCATATCTCCTACTCCCTTATGGAGAAATTAGAATTTTAGAATTGGGAGGATTTATCTAGTCAAGGCAGTTAATATACAATTAAGAAAAAGGGCATCTCCCCTGCAATGTTAAATATGCAAGATCCTCTGAATTGACTTCTGCATGAAGGAGTTGACAATAATTAGCTTAAATAACTGATTTATGAATCTCTCCTTTTAATCAATAGTGCCGTTTAAAAGGAAAATGCATTAACTCACCGCTTTGTACAAAAGTTTTCTTCTGAACTAAAATATCAACTTTCACTCAATTACATTTAATATTCTTCATTTTTCCCCCTTGGGGGGGAAATGAAGCATTTTGAAATAACTCACATATTCTTTTTGATTAAAAAGAGACAAGAATATTTTTTCTTGTTTCTTGGAAAACCTGATCTAAATTAAGTCTCACACCTTCATAAAATATAAATCTTCCTCCCATGTTATATCCTCCTCTACAATTTCACACCTCCTCTTTGCCAGTTGCTAAGCCATTGTCTCCTAGCTTTAAATCTCCCTTCCCATTTCTACACTCAGGTTTGTAATATGGCTGTTAGTAGTCTACAAATCATATTTTGGCTTTTCTATTAGATTCTACCCAAAGGGGTTGCTAGATGAAACTGGAATACTGAGGAAGAAAGAAGGGACCATATTATTTGCTATCTCTTTGCTTCCTGTCCCTCTCAGTATCACTTGAGCATTACTTCTTCATTAAGCATTAAGAGTTGATTCCTGTTTGCAGTTTTTTTGGCACTTACAGATTCAGACTTATTGTATACTCCTTTGGGACCTCTGACACCAGCTGGCCAGTGTTTCTTCCTCAGATACCTGAGTCCAGCCCCACAGGAATCATCCTTCAAGTTTTTAAATTGTAATAATTCCAACATCTTCCCTTTTTTCTCCTTGGTCCTAGGGTTTGCAGCTGCTTTCTCCACTGTTGTTTTTGTGAGACTTTATTATTTCCTTTTCCGCTTTTAATTTTTTCAATTCTGAGAAATACTTTATATTAAAGAAGTTCAACATATTAAAAAATTATTCTCTATTGTTAGAATAAATGGGTATTTTCAAGTCTCTTGACCAGACCCTAACTAAATTCACACCTCTTATAACTACTGCTATTTAAGTTCTACCATGTTTCTAGGACTCAGACGTGTCAAAATAGAATACTGTGGTAGAGTCATGGCTTCTTTCACGGGGCGCAAGTAAAATTACACTTAAAGTGGCAGCATTTTCTATCTCTGGATCCTGGTATTTCAGTGTTCACAATTGTCATCCAAAATGATATATCTGTAAATAAAAGGGTGTAAGGAAATTAGAAAGAAGAAAATGAGTGCTTCATTGTTCTCTATTCCAGGTTCATGTAAAGCTAGTACCTCCCCATGCCAGCTTACTATTTGATCTTCAGAGATACACTGGCTCTCTGGCTCTTACTTTATGTTTCTCCTACAACATGAAGGTTTAGACAAACCTACATTTTGTATATTTAGTTAATCAAATCTTCTCATTTTGAAATTGAGTCATCTGCGTCCGAGGGGTTAAAATAACCTGTTTATAGACACACAGCTAGTAAATGAATGCTGAAAGTCTATCTGCCTCTCACAAGTCGATTTCCAGTATATTCTTTTACAAGTATAGAAATAGCTGATAATCCACAAATTATTTTTTGTTACATAAATGTAAGTTTAACTAAAATCTGACCGCAGATTAGATTGACTGTCCCAGCATTAAAACCAAAAGTAGTTGTATCTTCATGGTTAAATTTGGCTTCGAAATCAATATCCCTTGTTATGGTTTGAATGTTTGTACCCTTGAAAATTCATGTTGAAATGTAACTGCCATTGCAACAGTATTAAGAGGTGGAACATTTAAGAGGTGATCAGGCTATGACAGCTCCACCCTTACCAGTGGGATAAGTACCATTATGAAAGAAGAAATCTGGCCCTCTCATGTGCTTTCCCCCACCTGCACCCTTGCCTTCTCCCATATGAATGTTTTCTAAATAGGGTCCTTCTTCCTCTATTGTAAAGGACAAAGCAGCATTTTTCAATATAGTTGTTTATGTTTTCAATATTTGCTCAAAATTTAAAAATTAAGTATTTATACAAAGATTCATGGCAAACTCCTTGCCAGATTTTTAAAATCTTGTTATTGGCAACAGAAATTAAAGGTGTTGTAATAAGTATATTCTTTTTGCTTGGAATCCTCAGATTAACCTATTTTATGGTAATAAATCAAGCTTGATGTGAAGAGTAAACAAGTAGGCAGTATATCAGATAATTAGTGGATACAAATCTCCATTCAATGCCAAGTTTGTGAGTCTAAAGTTAGTCATTTTAATGACTATAATACATTAGTAATAGAACAAATGATCAAAGTTGTGAAAAATGTATAGGAAAAAACACAGAAATGATGTTTCTGTATTGTAATCTTGTGAGCAATAAAAAGTAAAAAATACATTATGTGAGAAAGGGGCTCAAGGTATCATTCTAGTCTTTACTCTGCTGTAGCATAAAGTTATTCTGGGTAGAGAAGAAGCTCTCTAGAAGCCTTACGCATTAGATGGGAAGCTGAAGAATGCCTCTAGTCTGGCTTAAGTAAAGTTTTTATATTAAATTATGTCAAGCTATGTATATGGCTGGATTAAAGAGCTCAAGAAGTATCACTGGATTCTTTCCCTCTCTATCCCTCAGTCTTCTTCTGTGTCATAGACATAATTAGACCATATTCTCTAGCCTGTCAGCCATAAAAGAAAGAACACGTCTTCTCTGACAAGAAGGAATAGAGCATTCACAGAGTTATCTGGTCGGCCAGTTTGCATCACAGGCACACCTTTATGAGGCAATTCTAACTGGTAGGAATAGTTCAACACATCTTCATAAATTACTAAAATTTGTTATTTAATTTTGCATATTTTATTCCAAAAATTTTGTGAGTAAAGCTGGCTATTATTATCACACATGTCTCACTTGGGGAAGAAACTGAGGCTCAAGAAGGTGATGGATATGGGAATTTATCTGAGATTTTCAAATTCCATCAGTGAGCAGAATTGATCATTTTAAAATCCTATATATGAGAACTTGGAAGATGCTAAGGAACTAGTAAAATAGACCAGACAGATAAGAAGAACATTCTAGAGCCATGGAACAGAAGAAACAAGGACAATTTTAAGACATAGAAAGATGGAAGAAACTACATAATGATTAAAGAATAACACTGAGACAAGACTACCAGATTTTAAAGATGTACGTGAAAGAGGGAAGGTACACTGTAATAAGATTATGTTGAGGAAGGCTTGGCATCTCAGATATTGACATTTGTGTGGCTTAAGAATGGTAACAAGGAAAGCAATAGGACTGTATCCCAAAAGAATGAGATACAGCAAGAATTTAAAATTTTTATTTATTTAGTTAGTTAGTTAGTTAGTTTTTTTGCTGTTGTTGTTTTTTGAGATGGAGTTTCACTCTGTCACCAGGCTGGAGTGCAGTGGTGCAATCTCGGCTCACTGCAAAGCTCCATCTCCCAGATTCAAGGTATTCTCCTGCCTCAGCCTCCTGAGCAGCTGGGACTACAGGTGCGCACCACCACGCCCAGCTAATTTTTGTATTTTTAGTAGAGACCGGGCTTCACCATATTGGCCAGGCTGGTCTCAAACTCCTGACCTCGTAATCTGCCAGCCTCAGCCTCCCAAAGTGCTGGGATTACAGGCGTGAGCCACCGCACCAGGCCAGAAAATTTTTTTAAAGATTTGTTTTGCTTTCAAGATAGCAGAAATCAACTTTTATAACATGTGAGCAAATAGAAATAAACACATATTTAAAATATTTTAGAAATACAGTTTTAAAGTATTGAAAACATTTTAGAAATAAAATTTAAAATTATTGAAAATAATTTAGAAATAAAATCTTCATTAAAAAGTATGTGTTCATTCAAACTGGTTTTAAATAACTGTGTTAAACTGAATGTAAAATTTCTGATAAGCTGTCAAAAATCGATTTCATTTCCTTGTAGGTGACTACTCCCATCCCATGACAAACCACTGACTAGAAACAGATTCAGTCTCCTGTGCTCTGAGGTCTAAACAGCAGTGACCAGGCCTTCATCTATTATCATTTCTTGATTGTAACAGAACAAGTAACTGCTAGAGTTTATCAAGGGTAAACTTTTTACCTTTACTAAACTGTCACAAGCTTGGTGATTTTAGTGATTTTGGTCAATAAGCTGTCTTCTCTTGAGTTGCCCAGAAGTATTTCTGGTGTCAGTTTGGGGCATTCTCTTAAGATTTCTAGACTCCAACATTCTAACTAGACCTTTTAGTTTTTTTTTTTTTTTTTTTAAGTCTCTGACAGGTGCTAAACCCTCTTAATTAATTTGAGTCATTAGAAAGAATAAAAGCACAGTGAAACAACTTGATGCCTGCATTTAGCTGTCTTTTTTGCTTGCCTGGGTTCTGATTTGGGGCTTGTAATAGGGGTATATTTGACTTCATACTGAATTTTTGTATTTTTTTTAATTGCATATCCAATGAGATTGTGTCTTAATGGAAGCATTTTATTCTGGGATAATCCTGAAAGTCAGCACAAGGTTAAAACTGTTAACCTCTAAGGAAAGAGAAATCTGATTTTTGACAAAATTTTATATTTCTATGCTTGTAACATTTTTGTCTGTATCACATTTTGAATGCACTCACTACCAGTAACAACTCATCTTGGGCCAAGTGAAAATTTAATGAATGAGTAGAAAGAGCAACTACTGATGCTACAGGTAACAAAGTGCCTCTTTTCTGAATTTGGAAAAATATCTTAATCTTAGTTTCAGTTCTTTCATTCATTTAAACAAATAATAATATAGTAAAGTAAGTTAATAATTTTATATTTTTATGGAGCCCAGAACATTTATTTCCAACAAAAGCTTATACAGATCACCAGCCAGATATTAATCAGGTATGAATCGTTTTTGGAAAAGGAAGATTGAGCCCACAGTCCTGTCTGACTAAATCCAGTGTGAAAAATCACTGAACTGGACAGATGGCATTCAAAATAATTTTTACTTCTGAATCTTAAGGGCAATGTACTAACAATGGTCATCTTGGATTTTAGGCAAGTGTTGAGGGTGGCTGGGAAGAGGTGAAATATATGGTTTGCGTATATACAATATAGTTAATGTTTAACTTTTTTGAGCAGAGTAGCAATTGACGTTATTGGAAATACCAAAAATTTAAGGAGTATTCATTTGGAAAAATAGTCTTTACTCTGGTTTTTAGAAGTACTAAACAAAAAACGATTTTGTCTGGGTTGAGGCAAAGGTTATTCTATTTGAGTACAGAGGCAATGATATTGTAAACTCAAGGTTGGGAAAAAATGCATCATTCTGTGAGATAATAAAGTTCACTCTGATGGTAGTCTATATTTTTTTTCCTTCAGGAATCCCTCTTTTGTCCTGATATGGATACTCTTTCCTCTAAAAAGGAAAACAGCTAGCATAGCAATATAGTAACAAGCTGGGCAATCTTTGAAAGTGCAATGTCCTCATTTAGCACTTAGAGAAAACATGTTTGTATTCAATGAAAATAACTGCTTCTAAGCTATTAACAGGGACATTTTTAGGGTTACATCAGATAGAAGCTTGTCAAAATCATATGATCTATAGCATAACTCTATTATTATTTTATCTCCTATTACTACAGGTTTTCATTCAAGGAACATATCACAATTTTTCGTATGCATTTTCAAAAAATTCCTAAATTTAATACCTTATTACTTCACTCTTTTGTTCACCCAGTATCAAGCATTTGGAGGTGCTCAATAATTTTTTGAGTGAATGAATAACAAAAGAGTTCCTATGAAGAGCTATAAACCTGTAGAAACTGTGAAGGAAATTGAAGGGAAATGAATAGGTAGTCAAATGGACCTACCCATAGAGATCAAAGGTTAATATATTTACCTACTTTCCCAATTTCAAATTGATGACCTCATTTAATTCAAACTTTCCTCTGGAGCGGGAATTTTTTCATGTCAACTTATTACAATAGACTTGACATTTCATGGCATGTAATTAACTTTCACTTCTGCTGAGTCACAAATTTGAGGCATGGAGGGGGCTGGAGAGAAGGAGCAATAATTTTTTTTAATCTTTCATGAATTAGACTAGGCAGTGGCAACTTGTACTTTCTACACTGCAATGAAGGTTTGCTTTTCTGTACTCATTGGTACAAAAACTCTAGCTTTCATAATTTTTTGCCAGTTTTATGAAAATAAACACAAAGAAGAACTCTATAAAAATAGAACTCAAGTAGAGTGTATTTAAATATGTTTTTAGTGATTTTCTGCTTAGAATCATTAAAGATTTAATGGGAACCCACAAATACTTTTCAAGTATGGTTTACCTTGTGGAAAAAAAAGTATTTACTATAGTGTTATTAAGGAATTTGAGAATTCCAAAGCAATTAATACATATCCTTCATAATGTCAGTGATCTACTGAGCAATTTTACAATTCAAGTTAATCAAGATTCACTGAAGTTATATTCAAGTAAGTCTCATTAAGAGAGCATATAAGTGCATATGAGAGGGTTCTTTCATCACAAATGAATCCCAGATGATTTCTTTCTTTGTTTAAAAACCTGGAAATTCTACTTGCTTTTATAACTTCTATACTTAATACTAAGTTTCCATAGCAATTTAGGAAATGTTTATGTTGGAAAAATACTTAACAGGGAAAGAAAAGTTTTGAGGACAGAAAAATGCATCTAGCAATGTGCCCTGCAGCCTAGAGTATAATTGCTTTAAAAGCCAGGGAATGGAAAACAGTTAAAGTGTTATACTGCCATACATCTTACAGGGATTAAAAGTTATCATTTTTCAGATTTGTGCAGGGCAGTTTGTTTCGGCATGGTACTCTGCCACATGGTGATATATTTGCCTGCAGAGATCACACTGAGGTAGTATAATACCCAGTCCTGCTTTGGATTTTCCCTAAAGGCAGACACAATCACTACAATAATGTGATAAATTGTGTGGCATTTTGCTGAACAGCAAGAGACTCCCCCCAGTTTTGAAACAGTTTGAGGCAGTTTGACTGTGTTTTCTTTTTTTTTTTTTCAGTTATTCGATTATGTTTTCCAAAGAAAATACTGGTACCAGGATTTCACTGTAAATGCCAATAACATAAACATTTTGTTCCATGACCTTTAAAAGTTTTTGCCAAAACTTTTTGCATTCCAAATCATGGTTCGGTTAAGGCAAAAGATAATGTATTTTCATATTTTAGTAGAAATTGGACTTTGAATTATATCTATTTCTTAGTGAGATATAATGTGTTTGACTAAATCAGTTCATTTCAGACAACCAAAAATGTTGAGTCCCTTCAATGTGCCAGATAATGGACTAATTGTAGAAGAAACTAAAATGAATATCCTAACCATCAAAAATTTTTCAATTTTAGGCCCAGCACAGTGGCTCATGCCTATAGTCTCAGCACTTTGGGAGGCAAAGGCAGTAGGATTACTTGAGCTTAGGAGTTCGAGACCAGCCTGGGCAACAAAGTGAGATCCCTATCTCTACGAAAAATAAAAGTGAATTTAAAAAATTATCCAGTCAAGGTGGTGTGAATCTATAGTCCCAGCTACTCAGGAGGCTGAGGTGGGAGAATCCCTTGAGCCCAGGAGTTCAAGGCTGCAGCTAGCTATGACTTCACCACTGCAGTGCAGCCTGGGCAACAGAGAAAGACACTGTCTCAATTTAAAAAAAAAAATCAGTTTTAGAGCATCTTGTTATGAACTCAACATGATCACGCTGTCTTCTTAATCTTTCAATGGCAATGCTCATGAATGAATACAGACTTCATCATTTGTTCTACCCTCTATTTATAACAATCACTTATATCTGCAGCAAAGGGAATGTTAAAATCTTATGACACTCGAGAATTATTTCTGCATCTGAATATGGATCAAAGTAAAAAAATGTGTGAGAATGACCAGTACACATATTCAAGTAAGGACGACATGCATTTCAATAATGCAGCTTTATTAGACTAAACTTTCATTTCAAAAACTCAGAAAAATCATATGAAATTAATATATCTATAATAACAATCATAGTTGACCATATAAGGGAGAATAATGTGACAGCACAGAGAAGATTTCCTCTTCCAATGTAGGCAATGAGAACAGGGTAGTTGAAATCCATAGTCAAAGGAGATTTGTAGGGCCATTGAGGTCAGAAGTGATAAAAGGAGTTTTTCATAAAATGGCCAGTAGGACACTTTAGGAAAAACTAGGCAATGTGACTTTTACTGAGCCCATGTGAAGAGACTAGAAGCATCAGAAAGAAATCTCAGAAAGGTTCACTTTTTCTCTCTCAATATTTCCTTTGTTGGCATTTTTACCATATATTGGGGTTCCAACTGTCTCTTTTAAAATGTATCTCTACAATCATTCTTCCAAATAACCTTTTGAAATCCTCATCTGTTTAGGTTGGTGCAAAAGTTTTGCCATTAATGGCAAAAACCACAATACCTTTTGCACCAACCTATAGATTTTCAGCGTCTTAAACTCATTCTGTCAAAACCTAAATTAATTATCTCCCCTTTTGTTTTACCGCATCAATCTTCTCCCAATGTGTCGAATTCAAAATTCTATGTTTTTTTTCTTTTAGATTTGCATTACAAAATGAATTTCTATACCCTTCTCCACCTCTCTCTTCCTCCTGCCACTGTCTTCTTTCAGATTACATCCAGGAATAGACAACACAATATTGTGGAAAGACCACAGGTTTGCAGACTGGTTTTGTTTTGAGTCTTTTCACTTCTCTCAGCTATATAATCTTGTGAAATAATTTCATCTCTCCAGCTTTAGTTTTATCACTTTAATAAGTACGAAGTGTAGCTTAGTATTAAAGGAAGGAGTCTCCTTGATAGATGTCATCATTTGATTAATCCATTAAATAATGTATTTATTATTTTAAAAATATGTGTTAAGTGCCTACTGTGAAGTAGAAACTATGTTAGGCACTGGAATTATTCAACCTGGGAGCATATTGTTGCCATTAACAGGGATGAGGAGCATTGGAAGATGCCTAGGTTTTGGTGGCATAAATCAGTGGAGTAAAGAGGAGAAATATATAAGACATTTGATTACAGGTTGTGTTTGAAACCAGAGATATAATGAGGTTTTATGAAGGTAGAATACGGTGAAAAAAAAAAAAAAGAATGGTCTAGCATTACCATAACGAACTCTGATTCTTCATAGATAGAAGAAAATGAATCTGCAAAGTATATGATGGATAAATCAGAGGAAATGTGGAGACTTAGCTCATAGAAGTTGAACTAAAAATATTTTAAGAAGGAAATAAACTGCCGATTTTTGTTGAGAGATTCTACAAGGGGAGGATGAAGAAACTACCCATTTGATTTAGATTTATGGACATAATCACTTACCCCAGTAAAAGTTATTTTGTAGGAGTGATGGAAATATAAAACGGGAGTATTGGCAGATTCTGCTACATGTCTTCCATATGCTATTTTCTCTTGCAGGATAATAAAACTTCCTATTTTTCTCTGTGCACCTACAAAATTAAGCAAACATTTCCCAACCACCATTGTAACTACATGTTATCATGTTGTTAATTTATAGATAACATAACAGAACTTCCTGATAATGCTTTTCCTTTTTCCTTTTCCCTTGTCCAGTGACTGGGATGTGAACATAATAGTATGCTACCTTTGACCATGCAGATAAAGGCAAAACTTTATAAACATCAGAATAAGAGAGAATAAACATGAGTTTTGAAATTTTATCAGAAGGATGATGTCACACCAGGTTTTTTTTTTTTTTTTTTTTTTGAGATGGAGTTTTGCTCTTGTTGCCCAGGCTGGAGTGCAGTGGCACAACCTGGGCTCACTGCGCAATCTCCGCCTCCCGGGTTCAAGAGATTCTCCTGCCTCAGCCTCCCGAGTAGCTGGGATTACAGGCATGCGTCACCACGCCTAGCTAATTTTTTTTTTTTTTGTATTTTTTAGTAGAGATAGGTTTTCTCCATGTTGGTCAGGCTGGTCTCCAGCTCCCAACCTCGGGTGATCCACCCTCCTCGGCCTCCCAAAGTGCTGGGATTACAGGCGTGGGCCACCTCGCCTGGCCATCAGCTTCGATTTTTATAAGCAAAATATAATTCACTTTTTTTAAACCTTTGTTAATTTTGGATCTCTATTGTAGCAACCAGACTTACACTCTTACCAGTACATAGATAATATCGTAATGAGAGTATGTTGAAAAACATGGAGACAGCATTTTAGAAAACTTCCTACAATTTGAGCTAAGAGGCAGAATAGAAAGCTAGCAAAGTAGCTGGAGGAGAATGAGGGGAAAAGTGGCTATAACAAGGTGTATCTGTTTTCAATGGTAAAGATTTGAGTATGTCTAGAAGCCAATGGGAAGAACCCAGGCAACAGGTAGAGGTTAAGAGTGTTATTCACCTGGTATACTGTTTCCAGGCTCAGATATTATGACTCTCTTGTCCTAGTAGGTGATGCTGCAAAGCCTGCGTGAATCTGGCATGGTTAAAATGCAGATATCTAAGAGGTTGATCAAAAGTCTGATACTGTTTCCTTTCTTTTTCATATCCCCTTTTTCTCTGCATAGGATGCATGGTACATTGCTTTTTTGCTACTTCAATGAATTCAAGAAAATTATGTATAACATAGTAAGAACTCAATGTCTATTTTTTTAATGAATGAATGTAAACCCATTCTATCTAAACTTCACTCTTTTGGGATTTATATACCTAGAGTTGAGTGCTAAATACCACAAAATTACAACCTATGCAATGGAACCACAAGCAGATCTAAATAGGCAACAAAAGCATTCCACATTATAATTTCTCAGGGGGAAACACACGTATTCCTTATCTATTTCATTATACTGTACTCAGAATTGTCATTGAGATTTTTAACCTGTCTGTATGTAGTACAGGCTGATGAAATTATATTTAATGATTGTATTTTCTATGCTTCACTCATTAGAATTATATTCAGATAGTTTAAATACACTATTGTTTCTTTCTCCCTCATAATTAAAGTCAGGATTCCACTTGATCATGATCAGTTAGACATTCTGGAAGATCTCTGTCAACTTGCATTTAAATATCTGCTCCAGTCTTTCCTTTGGGAACAACCTACTCACTGGCTTGTCTATCAGCTGTGGCATTTCTTTGCAATGAGTCTCTGGTGTAACTTGGCTGCATATGTTTCTTCATGTTTTCCTAGTAACTGACACAAAAGAAATACATCTTGAATGCAGCCTGTAATGGTCATTCAATCCTTTTTTTCTATTTTTAGGTGTTTTTCACTCAAAGAAAATACATTTTTTTAGTTAACCTGAATTTTTTGACTTTTTTTTAATTCCAAGGGATTAGAGCATTTGTATAAAAATAAAACTGAAACATATAAATATGTCAGACAAAACTTCGTATTTTGAAAATGTCTCCACAGAGCTCTATAGATATCCATGGGTGTAAGCACTTGACAGAATAATAAATTAATCAATAATCCTCTGTGAGCACTAAAAACCATGTTCACTTTTTCTATACCAGGCTTTAGGAGGTCCAACTTTTTTTCTATTTTTTTTTTTTTAGACAGACTCTCACTCTGTCGCCCAGGCTGGAGTGCAGTGGCACCATCTCAGCTCACTGCAACATCTGCCCCCAGGGTTCAAGTAATTCTCCTGCCTCAGCCTCCTGAGTACCAGGGACTACAAGCATGCACCACCACTCCCAGTTAATTTTTGTATTTTCAGTAGAGAGGGGGCTTCACCATGTTGGCCAGGCTGGTCTCAAACTCTTGACCTCAAGCGATCCACCTGCCTTAGCCTCGCAAAGTTCTGGGATTACAGGTATATGCCACCACACTCAGCCGAGGAGGCCCAACTTTTAAGTGCCAAAGCCATTATAGAATTTAACCTCTGACCCCCGGAGATTCTAGATCCTGTAAACAATTTTGAGAACCAACAATCAGAAAACAATGCCATCAAATGCTTATAATATGTTTGTGTGCTTATGGGAAGAGGAAGACCAAAGGGATCAAAAGTAAGAACACGTAATCCCAGCCCTTTGGGAGGCCGAGGCAGGAGGATCATTAGGTCAGGAGATCAAGACCATCCTGGCTAACACAGTGAAACCTTGTCTACTAAAAACACAAAAAATTAGCCGGGTGCGGTGGCGGGCGCCTGTAGTCCCAGCTACTCTGGAGGCTGAGGCAGGAGAATGGCATGAACCTGGGAGCCAGAGCTTGCAGTGAGCCAAGATCGCACCACTGCACTCCAGCCTGGGCTACAGAGTGAGACTCAGTCTCAAAAAAAAAAAAAAAAGTAAGAACAAAAAGGGGAGGAAGATACAAACCTATTACCATTTCTGAAATAAATGCTCTTTTGTTGTACAGACTTCTTGTCACTTTGGATTTCAGGTCTCTTTGGTCTTCTCTGAGTAGCTCACTTATATGAACATTTTATATTACAGTAGTGACCCCTCATCTTTGGTTTTGCTTCCCGTGGTTTCAGTGACCTGCAGTCACATGAGGTCTAATAATACACACAATGCAGTACAATAAGGTATTTTTGTGAGAGACCACTTTTACGTAACTTTTATTACAGTTTGTTGTTATAATTGCTCTACTTTATTATTAGTTATTATTGTTCATCTCTTACTGTGCCTAATTTATAAATTAAACTTTATCTTAGGTATGTATATATAGGAAAAAACAAAGTGTATATTGGGTTTGCTACTATCTGCAGTTTCAGGCATGCACTGGGGGTCTTGGAATGCAAGTCCAAACTTGCATATTCGAGGCACCTAAAATGATTACCTTACTCTAATAATACACTCAAGTGGAACCAAAGAGAAATTGAAAGGGTAAAAGGAGGATAATGGCAAAGGAAAAAAGAAAAAAAAAATAGGATGGAATGCAGAGAAGTGGAATAAATGGAAAAATTGTGTGAAAAACAATATGGAAAGTAATAATTGAAGGCACAAATTATTGGGCACCTAATGCAATGAACAGATGAATGGACATTTCCACATGCTTAATTATTCTTTAGTTGTGATGAATCTTTCCTGAAAGCAGTTTTCTTACCTCAGAGCTGTACTTTTCTTTACTTATAGCTACTGTAATGGTCTAAGAAATGTCTAAGTGTTGGAATAATATCAGAAATGCCTAAATATTTATATGAAACCAGTAATTACAAGAAAAAGGAACAATGGAATTTGCATGGTTTAGAAAATTGTAATATATCACCCTTATGATTATCAAATGATCTCCCTCAAATTCATTTCCATTCCCATTTTTCAGTTGCACGATTCTAGGAATAAAGTGTAATCATGGTCAAACCTAGATATACTTGGTCTGAGAAGCTTAGAAACGAAATGTTTATAGTTTGGATGAAGGAGTATAGTATAATTTTCACATACGCATACATATATATACATACACAAAGACACACACATAAATTGAGGTGTGAAAATTCAGTGCATAAACAAATTTAATGAAATTGTATATCTAACAAATAAAAACCATCTTTATGTGCATATTACCTTCCATAAAATATATGCTAAATATTTTAAACAAAAATTGTATTCATAGATAGCTTTATTTTTGACCCATTTTCATTATATTTAGTCTAGGTTTCCATATTATTTGATGTGACTTACCTTTACTAACATGTGAAAACCTTCTGCCAGATGTCTCTGTAATAAAATATTAGAAAGATAGCTGCTAATAAATGCTCATTACTCTTATTTTTCTGGGATCTCAGATAACATGGCAGGTCACTGGCTTTTAGTTTCTCAAAAACTGTACTATTGTTCATTGGTTAGAATGTTTTAAAAATGCATATTTTATGTGACTAACATTGTATGTATAGCCTATTCTCTGTCAAAAAGTGAATCTTGAAAAAATAATGAAGGAAAAAAGGATTTTTAAAAGAAAATGTAAATTAAAATGTTTCATTGATTCATGACTATTTTTTATTTTAAACAATGTAAATCTAGGAAGTCCTCTATTTGCATAGTATTGTATCATAATAAAAATGACTGTGCAAGCTGAATGATCTTAAAAGTGATCTTAATAGCCAATGAGAAATTTATGATTGTTCCATTACCTTTAACAATTTTTGCCGAAATATTAAAATATGCCAATTATAAATGTACACAGAAATGAAAAATAGTAAATTTGTAATATTTATGCTGTAATTTAAAATAATGAGAACATTTAAATTAAAGTGTTTTATGTCTTATAAAAATACATGTCAATAGTAGTTTGCACACACAGTGAATAGTCTTTAGCTCCTTCTTTTTGCATAATTTGCAATATGGAATGAGCATCTGTTCTATACTTTGTGAACTGTCATACTCTTTTCTAATCTGGATCCACTTCCAATACTTTATCTTTTGTTTCTTCAATGTCATGAAATACCTCTGAGAAACCTCCAGAAGTGCCTATGTCAATTATGGGACATCTTCATCTTTTTCATCACAATCACATTTTTCCTCACTTATGTTTATAAGTCGGCCTTCACTAAGTTCTTCTGGATGCGTATCTAGTGTCCCTCAAATAGCTGCAGTGTTAACATTCCAACAGTTACCTGTTTCTGCTATAACCTCATTTACATTTGACTCATATCCTTTAAAGTTATTTGCATGGTAGAGTAAAATTATGCCATACTGCATGCATCTTACTTCCTATTACTTTCTGCCAATACTTGGATGTTTTCCATTGCTTTATGCCTTATGTCATATTTTCTCCAAAATTCAGCAAAAAAAAAAAAAAAAAAAAAAAAACAAAAAAACTCCGTGATCTTCCTTCATAGCATTAATAGCCTTTCCAAAAGTCAATTTGTAATAATGGGCAAAGTTGAAATAAATTCCAGGCCCATTGATTGGATTGATGAAGTTGCATTTGGGGTAAAAATTAAATGTTCACATTTTCATTCATGCTACAAAGAGAATCAAGGTGACCTGGAACATTTTCCAATGGTAGTAGTACTTGAAAGTTATTAGTTTGCTTAGACTCTTTCTACATCTAAGAGATAAAGAAACACAACTATACACTTTGCTCTCTGTATGTGAGCTGAATAACAGATGTGCAGTGTATTGCCAAAAGTTTTTGAAGGAAATAATAGCCATGTATCACTTAATGATGGCGATACTTCCTGAGAAATATGTCATTAAGTGATTTTGTTTTTGTACAATCATCATAGAGGATACTTACAAACACCTAGATGGTATAGGCTATCACACATCTAGGCTATATGCTATATCCTATTGCTCCTAGGCTATAAACCTGTACAACATGTTACTGTACTGAATACTGTAGGCAATTGTAACACAATGCCAAGTATTTATGCATCTAGACATTTAAACATAAAAAGGTACAGTAAAAATACTGTATAAAAAGACTTAAAAATGGTTTATCTGTATAGGGAGCTTACCGTGAATAGAGCTTAGAGAACTGGAAGCTGCTCTTGGTGAGTTGGTGCGTGAGTGATGAGTGAATGTGAAGGCCTAGGACATTACTATATACTACTGTAGACTTTATAAACACTGTACTCTTAGGCTACACTGAATGAAAAAAACATTTTTTTTTTTACTAATAAGTTAACCTTAGGTTACTGTAACTTTTTTTTATGATCTTTAACTTTTTTCAACTCTTTGACTCTTTTGTTATAACACAGCTTAAAACACAAACATATTGTGCAGCTGTACAAAAATATTCTCTTTATATCCTTACTCTATAAGCTTTTTTCTATTTTAAAATTTGAAAAAAAAATAAACTTTTTTGTTAAAACCTAAGACAGAAACGCACACATTAGTTGAGGTCTGCACAGGGTCAGAAGCATCAATATCACTGTCATTCACCTTCACATCTTGTCCCACTGGAAGGTTTTCAGAGGCAATAACACATGCGGAGTTACCTCCCATGACAACAATGTCTTCTTCTGGAATACCTTCTGAAGGAAATGCCAGAGGCTGCTAATTTACAGTTAACTATTTTTTTATGTGAAGGAGTACACCAAATAAAATGATAAAAATATTGTGTAGTAAATGCATAAGCCACTAACAGTCATTTATTATAATGTATTGTGTACTGTATCTAATTGTATGTGCTATACTTTTATATGCCTAGCAACACAGTAGGTTTGTTTACATCAGCATCACCACAAACATGTGAGTAATGCATTGCACTATGACATTATAAGGGCTACCATGTCACTAGGTGATGAAAATTTTTCAGCTGTATTATAATCTTATGAGACCATTATTGCATATGTTACTCTTCATTGACCAAACCCCATGTGTCACATGACCGTATGTGATTGGGTCACTGATTAGAATGCACTTTTGTTATTTATATAATGGTTTGTATACCAAACGGCCAGAAGGAAAGTTTATACTTTATGTAATTACTCACAGTTAACATATGTTAGTAGCTGAAATTTGAATTGTATTACTAGAGAACTGGTGTTATTTAACTAAATGGTGTTAACTGAAACACATATATTGTATCATGCAAAGTGAAGGTCACCTATATTTTAAATGATACTGTTTCTAAAAGTAAATAACGCCACTAAGTTTTGAAGCTAATTTTCCTAATAATATCTTTGAAATAAGAATAATTTGATTGTGTTTTCAAACTGAAACACTTAGAATGACAGTCTGCTAAGCAATGAACAAATTTTGAGTGGCTGGAGGACAGTAACCATAACTCAATTATCAATTCTCACCAGAACCTAATTGTGCTTGTATGGTAGATGGTTTGAATGAATTAATTAATTTAAAGGAAAAAATACTTACTCTCAATATGTATAATGTATCTGATAAAAATATGTTTTATTTAATGAAGTTAAGAAATATGATATCTCATTTTTGTATAAAATTATGGACATAATTACATTAACGTTATGAAATGTGCATAATGTTATAGGATCGTAACAGACATAGTGAAACTATTTTTCCCTTTGAATGTTCCCAATAAAAAAATAGAAGACATATTTATATGTCATGTTTGATGTATGAATAAATTTGGGGTTGGCAGCTATCCTTCTCATATTATTTCTTTCTTAGGCATTTTTTTTCTAGAATATGAATGCCTCCTTGGTCTGAGAAAAGATATTTGTGTCTATAACCACATTTTTGCTTCCTGCAAGCTCAGTAAAGCTTTTATGTTTTTCCTCTCTAATCAATAGTGTAAGTTGATAGTGGTCTGGATGTATTTCTTTTACCATTACAATGTTTCTGGGCTAGTGATTGATGTGTTTCTTGCCTCTCTAAAAATAAGAAACCCATATTAGATTTTACTGTCCTTATGCATCTCACTTTGAAAATTATAGATGACTATATGTATCCAATATACTCAGACAAATAAAAAGTAATGAAGCATAAATTCGGGAAACCAAAATACTATGGTGAATATAATGTTATTTCTTTTTTTTTTAAGGATAATTTATTACTTTTATTGTAATATTCAGTAAAGTCTAATTAGAATCTTTTTTGTTTGTTTGTTTTATTGTTATACTTTAAGTTTTAGGGTACATGTGCACAATGTGCAGGTTAGTTACATATGTATACATGTGACATGCTGGTACACTGTACCCACTAACTCGTCATCTAGCATTAGGTATATTTCCCAATGCTATCCCTCCCCCCTCCCCCCACCCCACCACAGTCCCCAGAGTGTGATGTTCCCCTTCCTGTGTCCATGTGTTCCCATTGTTCAGTTCCCACCTATGAGTGAGAATATGCGGTGTTTGGTTTTTTGTTCTTGTGATAGTTTACTGAGAATGATGATTTCCAATTTCATCCATGTCCCTACAAAGGACATGAACTCATCATTTTTTATGGCTGCATAGTATTCCACGGTGTATATGTGCCACATTTTCTTAATCCAGTCTATCATTGTTGGACATTTGGGTTGGTTCCAAGTCTTTGCTATTGTGAATAATGCCGCAATAAACATATGTGTTCATGTGTCTTTATAGCAGCATGATTTATAGTCCTTTGGGTATATACCCAGTAATGGGGTGGCTGGGTCAAATGGTATTTCTAGTTCTAGATCCCTGAGGAATTGCCACACTGACTTCCACGAGGGATGAACTAGTTTACAGTCCCACCAACAGTGTAAAAGTGTTCCTATTTCTCCACATCCTCTCCAACACCTGTTGTTTCCTGACTTTTTAATGATTGCCATTCTAACTGGTGTGAGATGATATCTCATTGTGGTTTTGATTTGCATTTCTCTGATGGCCAGTGATGGTGAGCATTTCTTCATGTGTCTTTTGGCTGCATAAATGTCTTCTTTTGAGAAGTGTCTGTTCATATCCTTTGCCCACTTTTTGATGGGGTTGTTTGTTTTTTTCTTGTAAATTTGTTGGAGTTCATTGTAGATTCTGGATATTAGCCCTTTGTCAGATGAGTAGGTTGTGAAAATTTTCTCCCATTTTGTGGGTTGCCTGTTCACTCTGATGGTAGTTTCTTTTGCTGTGCGGAAGCTCTTTAGTTTAATTAGATCCCATTTGTCAATTTTGGCTTTTGTTGCCATTAACGGTGCTGGGAAAACTGGCTAGCCATATGTAGAAAGCTGAAACTGGATCCCTTCCTTACACCTTATACAAAAATCAATTCAAGATGGATTAAAGACTTAAACGTTAGACCTAAAACCATAAAAACCCTAGAAGAAAACCTAGGCATTACCATTCAGGACATAGGCACAGGCAAGGACTTCATGTCTAAAACATATAATGTTATTTCTGTGGAGAATGTGAATTATACTCCATTTTGGGTACAATAGAAAGGTGTGTGGAAATAGCATTTCACATTAAATAAAGGGCAGTATGATTAATTCCACAGCAATGAGGTAAACTTTGTCTTCAATATTTGTGGCTAATTAGCAAGCAGACATACTTTTGAAAATGAGCCTTACTCCCTTGGTACTACATATTATGAATTTGTGTCCTATTCATAGTAAATTCTTTGAGGTATACATACACATTTGAAGTGGCTCTCTGCATAACTAATCATAATTATGTTGAAAATATTTTTTCAAATCAAATATTTAATATTGGTCAAATAAAATGAATTAATATTTGTTTAGAATAGAAGATAAAATCTTTTTTTAAAACCTTATATTTATTTGTTCACTCTTTCTGTTTATTTATTAGACAACAAAACTAGTGAAAATGGGTTCAATCACCCCTTCTGGTTTTCTAACATCTATTTTCCTTCAAATTGGTAAAAGAAATCGAAACAAAACTTAACACAAACAAAAAATTTTATGATTCCACAGGCAATGAATATATTAAAGAAAATTAGAAAACAACTACTAAAACTCTAATAGTGGAATAAACTTTTTAAATTATTTCATTTATTGATCTGTTTCTGAATTAAACCTGACTAAATTTCAATATTCTACATGGCAAAATGTTTTTATATTCAAGGATTATTTTAAAGACAAAATCTTGAATTAATTCTTAATGAATTGGGAATTTTCCATCTATTGCTGAAATTTTAATATCTCTGAATTCTCTTATTTGAACTAAGTTGTGGATAAAATTTATTGAGTTTGAAGTGATGGAAAGATGAGAAGTAAAAGCACTAGTTGTAATTATATCTGCTAAAGCAAGGCCATGACCACAATATTTTCAATATCCAAGGTGGACATACCATTTATCCTCCCATTGGGACATTTTTGAGAATCAAAGGAAGTGCTATCATAGTTACATTTGGAAAACAGGAACAAATTAGTACTGCCCTTAGAAACCTGAATATAAGATTATTCCTCTGGACAGCAAACATTTATGCATTATGGGCAGAGATAATGAATTTAATTTATTTATCTTTAATGCACACATCTTTAAATTTTTGAATCCTACTATGTTTCACATTGATATGGTTTGGCTGTGTCCCTACCCAAATCTCATCTTGAAATATAGCTCCCATAATTCCCACATGTTATGGGAGAGACATGGTGGGAGATAATTGAAACATGGGGGTGGTTTCCCCCTTACTGTTCTCATTGTAGTGATAAGTCTCATGAGATCTGATGATTTTATAAGGGGAAACCCCTTTTGCTTGGCCTTCATTCTCTCTTGTCTGCTGCCATATAAGACATGGCTTTTGCCTTCCACCATGATTGTGAGGCCTCCCAACTACGTGGAACTGTGAGTCCATTAAATCTCTTTTTCTTTATAAAACATCTTGGCTATGTCTTTATCGGCAGCATAAAAATGGACTATAAACAAGCATTCTGTGTTTTTTTTTAAAAAAATGAAATAGAGTAGTGGAAAAAATCATAACATTGTAAAGAAAGAGAAAAGAGAGGAGAGACAATGAGAGGAGAGGAGAAAGAAAAGGAAAGAGGAAAGTTTAATAGAAGACCCCATGTACCACTGACTCAAAAGAAGAGACCCATAATATATGTATTTAAAAAAGAAGGAAAGGAAATTTGAAGAAATTTTTATTTCTAGATAACTCATGTTTTCCTTTAGGAAAGAAACTGAGATATTTTAAGTATGTGTGTAATGAGAGGCAGAAGAAAAATGAAACCTACAATTTGCAGAACACATGATTTGCTGGTACAACGTACCATTAATCTGTTGATAGTTTCCATCCTAATTTTATCTACATCAAACACTGTTTATGAATGAACTATCTTTTTTCAAAATCATGTGTTTAATCATACGGTAATGCTTATCATGGGGGACCTTGTAAAATGCTTTTCCTAAAGTCTAATGTGAATCAAAATTAGTTTCTTTTTTAATTTTATGAACTTCTGTTAACATAGCAAAGCTTTTGCAAGAAAGTCTATATCAGATAGATGGAAGCAAAAAGACAAAATTTTCCTTCATAGAAAAACTAAAGATAGGTATTGAATGTAAAATAGTATAAAATAGCCTTTGTGAATACAAATACTTTGTATACTGAGCTTTTTCCCTGCAGTCATAGATATATTTAGTTATTGCAACTGTTTTTCATTCATTAATATTTCATATTCAGTTACAGTGACACTCATTTCACCATAGGCTTTTAAAATTATAGTCATGAAATTTCATCCTACTCCAAAAAAGAAAAGATAGTTCTCCCATTAAGTGAAACCTGTTAAGTATCATTTCCACAGCCTGCAAACCTCATAATTCTCATTGCATATCTAGCAGTCTTCCTCCATTTCTCGGCAGCAAATCATTAGCTGAGAACTAATTATCATTCACACTAACCTATTTTCACAAAATGTGTTAGAAGAAATTTACTGGTCTACCTGAAGCATTATTAAAGAATTGTTACCAAACTACATTTGTCAAGATAAATGAACACAGTACACTTTGTGATATGATCTTCATTTTCAATCATGTTTGCTGGCTTGTTCACTAATTCATACAAATCAGTAATTGGCAATAGATTTCTGTCATTTATGTAAATTTGGCCTGGCCTTCTGTAGCTTTGGTATACCAACAAGCCTAGAATTTTGTAGCTATTTTTAACACTTAAAATGTAAATGTAAACACCTGTTTGTCAAATACACTTTTGTTATTTTTGACATAACATAATACAGTGTACATTAGCGGAGAACATGTTTATAATACTTAAGAGAAAGCAAGATATTTCTAAAAAGGAGTTACTATCTTTCAAATTTGATAGAATAAAATTAAAAGGTCCTAAATAAAATAATTACCAAAAATCAAAGGCAAATGAGAACCTGAGAAAAATATGAAAGCTAACTAGATAAATTTATGGATATACAAAAACACAAATGCACCAATAAGGTAAGGATTGACAGCTCAATGTACAAAACAGCAAAATAAAACAAAATATAAATGGAAAAAGAACTTGAAAAAATGATGACTTTTATTATTATTAAACAATGCAAAATAAAATAACAATGAAGTATTATTCACCTAAACAAAATCTTAAAATATATTTAGATTTGATATGAATGAACAAAGGCAGTCTCTCAGACACTGTTAACAAAAGTATAAAATTATATACTATTTTTTGATAAATGCTTGGAAAAATACAAAGGAAAAAACCCTAAATATGCTTTCTCATCAATCAAGCAAGTTTGTGTACATGTAATATATGTAATATAAGTTTGTGATTTGTGCATGTTTTCATGCGTAGAATGTCACTACATATTTATATTGGCCTACTCTGGAGTGTCGGATTCACATAGACTTTTAGTTTTTGAAGAAAATGGCAAGACTAGAAATTTTACTTTTACCTTAAGTTCTTTTGTTCTTTATTATAGCTTAAATATAAAAAATGAAAAGGTACTAAAGGTAATGATGATTTTTAAATTGTTACTATACTTTCCCTAAATGATGATAAGTTTTTGTTCCTCTCTTACCATTCATATTTAATAAGAAAAATATATTTTAATCTCTGTTTTTCTAGTTCAAAGTTAAAGTAGCAAGATATAAATAGGCTATGTTTTTTCATCTACAATGCCCAGAATCATCTCATGTTTACACGATATCTATTTTAACCTTTTAAAAAAATGTATACCATGGGCATACAAGACATTTACTGAGAAGTCAAAATTCTGTCAATTCCTAGCCACAGAGAGAGAACTAATACTGAGAATACTCTCTATCAAATAAGACAATCCATTGCAGGGATTTCCTTACAGCAAGGAATGAAAAATTGGTAAACCACATCCTTATTACCTCAAATAATAAATGTAAAATTACCACCGGACAATCAGGCTTATTATCAGGGAATGTAATTAGACCTAATTACATTCCAGACTTATTTTCCCTAATATTTTATTCTCCTGGTACTCATGCATATTGATTATACCACATAATCACAGGCGTACTGACTTGTTGCCTTTTAATTGGTCTCTAGTGTTTCACTGATATATAGTTCTTATCACTGTAGGGCTGTTTTGTTTTTTTAATGCATTTCCCACATTCCTTAGTAAAATTGACAATCAGGAAATGTTTCTGTAATGAAAACATAATGAAGGAGAAGCAGTTCAGCATAGCCTATTAAATCGCTTAACTATACAGAAAGAAATCCAACATGGAAGGTAAGATTCTAGTGGTCAATTGGATAACAATAAGAGAAGATTAAGCGATAGTTGTATAGGGAAGGATAAACCAAGGAATCTAGGTCCAACGAATTAAATAGAAAGTGAGGAATGGTCACATTAAAACAACTTTGAATAAATGCCATATCTAGTCATAGGAAGAGGGGGAAAATAATGCCAGGTGTTTACATGGCTTATTTTTCAGGACTAAGTATACGCATTTTTAATGACCTATAATAAAATACAAAAATATCATGAGTTCCTCTTATTGAAAGGACAACTTTGTCAGATTCAGTGTTTTTCCGTTGATTCTATGCATACTTTTTACAATCTTTTTTAAAAATTTCAAACAACAATAGGGATACATTTTCTAAATCACTTCTTTATGCTTTGATCATTGTAACAGTATATATACTGATCAATGTCATACTGTAGGATTGAACAGAAATTTAAAAATAATGAAATTAAGTGTCAGATAAAATCACATGTATATGAAAAGCCTTGAAAATTGCAATGGAAAGTGTTACTCCATAGGCAATATATGTGATATGCAACTTTCAAATATCTGGAAAAATTATAATCTTACTATACCCAATTTATTCAATCTTATCCACTGAGGGATAGTTCCATGCCAAGATTAAAATTTTAATGGCTATTCTATGCATCACCTAAATTGCATTATGAAAAGCTTCTAGGAATTCAATGACTAGGAATTCTAGGAATTCAATGTCTAGCACTCAGTGACAAATCATATATGTATATATTTTTTTACTTTTAGTTATTGAACAGTCACTTTTATTTATTGAACAATTTGACCTACACTATATTTGTTTCTGTGTGTAATCAATAACAACCATAATGTTTTCCTGAAGTTGTTTAAATTGCAAATACCTTTCCTTTTCTCTATGAAAGCGGAATGTGATTCTTTTCAAATACAGAAAAATGTAAATGTAAGAAAGTGTGAGTTGAGATTGTTATCTTTGTGAGGACAGGAACTCATCTTTGTATGAGTATGGATATAAATCCAGGTTGAATCCCAAAGTGGTAGTTTTGTTACATATGCTTCACATAACTTGCTGATTCATATAACTTCCTAATTCAGGACTAGAGTTCAGTAAAATGTATTTCTCTCTTTCTCTACACACACACACACACACACACCTGTATATATGTGTATATGTTTGTGTATACACATACATATATGTATATATGTATGTTTGTGTATACACATACATATATGTATATATGTATGTTTGTGTGTATAGATTTTATGTACATATGCACATATGTAAATGTAAAATAAAATTCAATTTTCCTATACTTACACAGAATTATTTTTTCATAAGTAAGGAATTATAATTATCTGATCAATGATTCCTTATGTTTTTCCTCATGATAGGGAATAAGATTTAATAAAAACATTCACTCTGTTCAGATGCACCTCAGAATCCTTTTCAACACAAAATTTCAGTTACCATTACCAATATACTGAAAATGCTATTATAAGAAAAACATTCATAATGTAATAACTACAATAATAATTTGTTTCCAATATTTTAAAAGTTGTGTTATCAACTATTATACTCATTTCATAGAAAGCATTTGTAAGTTTCCTTTGTTTTTCTATGTTTCTGAACATATCAGTGAACCTTGATATCAACTATTGAGATCATTTAGTCTTTAAAGGTTTCATGTTATTTGGTGCAAATACATACACAGACTGTTAGAACCATTGTGAATTGTAATGAATAAGGGTATGTTTACTTCATTCAATATTTTCTCACCAAAATCTAACATTTCTGATAACAGAAAATTCCACTTTCATTTTGTTTGCAGTCACCTGTAGGCTTTTGCTCACCTGTTTATTTTAATGTTTAAGAATCAACTTTCATAGGTAGATGTCTATAGCACAAAATTTGTGAGCCAATGTAGAAATAATTTTAATAGGTGAGCCATTCTCATTTACATTATTGATACAACCAGTATATATGTAAATATTACTTTCACTTTATCTAACTCTTTAAATAATATGTGTTTGTTTTTGTGTGATGATTTAGTTCTAATATTTAATACAGTTCACATTTTTATTCTAGAGGTTACATTAATACTATTTGCATATAATTTATTTTGTTTCTTGTTTTTAGACACTGTCTACTGATTTCTTACTCTGGCAAAGGAAATTTATTTGTTACCTCTATGTCTACCTCTGTTCTTTTTCCTGTACCACCCAATTTTATTTAATGACATTATATTACTTAATGTTTATCATTTAATATACTTAACATATTGCTATTTATTGGATTTAAGTGACATTTTATCTGCCACCAATTACCTAAATGAAAATCACTTGGATTATTCTTTTTTATTGTTAGAACATTTTATTTTATTTATATATATATTTTTATTATACTTTAACTTCTAGGGTAAATGTGCACAATGTGCAGGCTTGTTACATATGTATACATGTGCCATGTTGGTGTGCTGCACCCATTAACTTGTCATTTACATTAGGTATATCTCCTAATGCTATCCTTCCCCCCACCCCCCACCCCACAACAGGCCCTGGTGTGTGATGTTTCTCTTTCTGTGTCCAAGTGTTCTCATTGTTCAATTCCCACCTAAGAGTGAGAACATGCAGTGTTTGGTTTTTTGGCCTTGTAATGGTTTGCTGAGAATGATGGCTTCCAGTTTCATCCATGTCCCTACAAAGGACATGAACTCATCATTTTTATGGCTGCATATTATTCCATGGTGTATATATGCCACCTATATTTGTGTAATTTTATTTCCAAATATGAATTTCATTTCCAAATATGAATGTTTTCCACCTATTAAATATATTTGATGTTCGTCAACAGTCCCAGTGTTGAGGTTTCCTAATCACATTAGTGTCAGGCCTCTGAGCCCAAGCTAAGCCATCATATCCCCTGACCTGCACGTACACATCCAGATGGTGGGTTCCTGCCTTAACTGATGACATTCCACCACAAAAGAAGTGAAAATGGCCTGTTCCTGCCTTAACTGATGACATTCCACCACAAAAGAAGTGAAAATGGCCTGTTCCTGCCTTAACTGATGACATTGTCTTGTGAAATTCCTTCTCCTGGCTCATCCTGGCTCAAAGGCTCCCCCACTGAGTACCTTGTCACCCCCATTCCTGCCCACCAGAGAACAACCCCCCTTTTTCCTTTACCTACCCAAATCCTACAAAACGGCCCCACACCTATCTCTCTTCACTGACTCTCTTTTGGGACTCAGCCCGCCTGCACCCAGGTGATTAAAAGCTTTGTTGCTCACACAAAGCCTGTTTGGTGGTCTCTTCACACAGATGCGTGTGAAATTTGGTACCGTGACTCGGATCTGGGGACCTCCCTTGGGAGATCAATCCCCTGTCCTCCTGCTCTTTGCTCCATGAGAAAGATCCACCTACGACCTCAGGTCCTCAGACTAACCAGCCCAAGAAACATCTCACCAATTTGAAATCCAGTAAGTGGCCTCTTTTTACTCTCTTCTCCAACCTCCCTCACTATCCCTCAACCTCTTTCTCCTTTCAATCTCGGTGCCACACTTCAATCTCTCCCTGCTCTTAATTTCAGTTCCTTTCATTTTCTGGTAGAGACAAAGGAGACACATTTTATCCGTGGACCCAAAACTCCGGCGCCAGTCATGGACTAGGAAGGCAGCCTTCCCTTGGTGTTTAATCATCACAGAGATGCCTCTCTGATTATTCACCCATGTTTCAGAGGTGTCAGACCACGCAGGGATGCCTGCCTTGGTTCTTCACCCTTAGCGGCAAGTCCTGCTTTTCTGTGGGAGGGGCAAGTACTCCAACCCCTTCTCTCCATGTCTCTACCCCTTCTCCACCTTTCTGGGGGGCAAGAAACCCCCAACCCCTTCTACTTCACCCTTAGCAGCAAGTCCCACTTTTCTAGGGGAGGGGCAAGTACCCCAACCCCTTATATCTCTGTGTCCCGATCCCTTATTTCCGTGCCCCAACCTCTTATATCTCTGTGCCCTGATCCCTTATTTCCATGCCCTGACCTCATATCTCTGTGCCCTGATCCCTTTCCCACTTTTCTGGAGGGTAAGAACCCCCGAACCCCTTCTCTCCATGTCTCTACTCTCTTTTCTCTGGGCTTGCTGCCTTCACTATGGGCAAACTTCCACCCTCCATTCCTCCTTCTTCTCCCGTAGCCGGTGTTTTTAAGAACTTAAAACCTCTTCAACTCTCACCTGACCTAAAATGTAAGCATCTTATTTTCTTCTGCAATGCTGCTTGACCCCAATACAAACTTGACAGTAGTTCCAAATAGCCAGAAAATGGCACTTTCAATTTTTCCATCCTGCAAGATCTAAATAATTCTTGTCGTAAAATGGGCAAACGGTCTGAGGTGCCTGATGTCCAGGCATTCTGTTACACATCGGTCCCTCCCTAGTCTCTGTGCCCAGTGCAACTTGTCCCAAATCTTCCTTCTTTCCCTCTCACTTGTCCTCTCAGTCCCAACCCCAAGGGTTGCTGAGTTTTTCTAATCTTCCTTTTCTACAGACCCATCTGACCTCTCCCATCCTCCCCAGGCTGCTCCTCACCAGGCCAAGCTAGGTCCCAATTCTTCCTCAGCCTCTGCTCCTCCACCCTATAATCTTTTTATCACCTCCCCCCCTCACACCCAGTCTGGCTTACAGTTTCATTCCCTGAGTAGCCCTCCCCCACCTGCTCAGAAATTTCCTCTTAAAAAGGTGGCTGAAGCTAAAGGCATAGTCAAGGTTAATGCTCCTTTTTCTCTATCAGACCTCTCCCAAATCAGTGAGCATTTAGGCTCTTTCATCAAATATGAAAAACCCAGCCCAGTTCATGGCTCATTCAGCAGCAATGCTGAGACACTTTACAGACCTAGACCCTAAAAGGTCAAAAGGCTGTCTTATTCTCAATATACATTTTATTACCCAATCTGCTCCTGACATTAAATAAAACTCCAAAAATTAAATTCCGGCCTTCAAACCCCACAACAGGATTTAATTAACCTCACCTTCAAGGTGTACAATAATAGAAAAAAGTTGCAATTCCTTGCCTCCACTGTGAGACAACCCCCAGCCACATCTCCAGCACACAAGAAGTTCCAAATGCCTAAACCGCAGTGGCCAGACATTCCTCCAGAACCACCTTCCCCAGGGGCTTGATCAGGCCTCCTCCCTTTCCTACACATCGAGCTCAGGGATTTGCCCCTGCCCAGGACTGGCAAATTGACTTTACTCACACGCCTCAAGTCAGAAAACTAAAATATCTCTTAGTCTGGGTAGACACTTTCACTGGATGGGTAGAGGACTTTCCCACAGGGTCTGAGAAGGCCACCGTGGTCATTTCTTCCCTTCTGTCAGACATAATTCCTCAGTTTGGCCTTCCCACCTCTATACAGTCTGATAACGGACCAGCCTTTACTAGTCAAATCACCCAAGCAGTTTCTCAGGCTCTTGGTATTCAGTGGAACCTTCATATCCATTACCATCCTCAATCTTCAGGAAAGGTAGAATGCACTAATGGTCTTTTAAAGACACACCTCACCAAGCTCAGCCTCCAACTTAAAAAGGCTTGGACAATACTTTTACCTCTTGCCCTTCTCAGAATTAGAGCCTGTCCTCGAGATGCTACAGGGTACAGTCCTTTTGAACTTTTATATGGATGCACTTTCTTGCTTGGCCCCAACTTCATCCCAGACACCAGCTCTCTAGGTGACTATCTTCCAGTCATCCAACAGGCTAGATAGGAAATTCATCAGGCTGCTAATCTTCTCTTGCCTATTCCAGATCCCCAGCCATATGAAGACACCCTAGCTGGACAATCAGTTCTTTATAAGAATCTGACCCCTCAAACTCTACAACCTCGATGGACCGGACCCTACTTAGTCATCTCTAGTACCCCGATTGCCATCGGCCTGCAGGATCCTCCCCACTGGGTTCACCATTCCAGAATAAAGCTGTGTCCATTGGACTGCCAGCCTAATCCCTCCTCTTCCTCCTGGAAGTCGCAAGTACTCTCCCCTACTTCCCTTAAACTCACTCATATTTCTGAAGAACAGTGATAACCCTTATGAGCCTAATACATCCCTTCATTCTATTAGATCTGTTCATCCTTACCCTACATTTTCAACAGGGCTTTACGATGTCACTCCCACCACTTGGGCCGAGCACCAAAAAACTTGTCATCCCTACTATTTTCTGTCTAGTCATACTCCTATTCTCCATTCTCAACTACTTATAAATGCCCTACTCTTGTTTACACTGCCGGTTTACACTGTTTCTTCAAGCCATCACAGCTGATATCTCTTGGTGCTATCCCCAAACTGCCACTCTTAATTCCCTCTTAGAGTGTGTAGATGATCTTTGCTGTCAGGGCACTCTCCAATACTTCCACCCTGATGAAGTTCTATTCTTTACTTTTATACTCACTCTTATTCTCATTCCTATTCTTATGCCACCCTTTACCTCTGCCCAGCTATCTTCACCACACTATCAACCTTGCCCATTCTCTCCTAGCCACTTCTAATCCCTCCTTAGTGAACAACTGCTGGCTTTGTGTTTCCCTTTCTTCCTGTGCCTACACAGCTGTCCCCGCCTTACAGACAGACTGGGCAACATCTCCTGTCTCCTTACACCTCTGAACTTCCTTTAACAGCTCTCACCTTTACCCTCCTGAAGAACTCATTTACTTTCTAGACAGGTCCAGCAAGACTTCCCCAGACATTTCACATCAGCAAGCTGCCGCCCTCCTCTGCACTTATTTAAAAAACCTTTCTCCTTATATTAACTCTACTCCCCCCATATTTGGACCTCTCACAACACAAACTACTATTCCTGTGGCCGCTCCTTTATGTATCTCTCAGCAAAGACCCACTGGAATTCCCCTAGGTAATCTTTCACCTTCTCGATGTTCCTTTACTCTTCATGTCTGAAGCCCAACTACACACATCACTGAAACAATTGGAGCCTTCCAGCTCCATATTACAGACAAGACTTCTATCAATACTGACAAACTCAAAAACGTTAGCAGTAATTATTGTTTAGGAAGACACTTACCCTGCATTTCACTCCATCCTTGGCTACCTTCTGCTTGCTCATCAGACTCTCCTCCCAGGCCCTCTTCTTGTTTACTTATACCCAGCCCCGAAAATAACAGTGAAAGTTTGCTCATAGATACTTAACGTTTTCTCATACACCATGAAAATTGAACCTCCTCCTCTATGCAGTTACTCCATCAGTCCCCATTACAACCTCTGACAGCTGCCGCCCTAGCTGGATCCCTAGGAGTCTGGGTACAAGACACCGCTTTCAGCACTCCTTCTCACCTTTTTACTTTACATCTCCAGTTTTGCCTCACACAAGGTCTCTTCTTCCTCTGTGGATCCCCTACCTACATGCGTCTACCTGCTAATTGGACAGGCACATGCACACTAGTTTTCCTTACCCCCAAAATTCAATTTGCGAATGGGACGGAAGAGCTCCTTGTTCCTCGCATGACACCGACATGACAAAAAAGAGTTATTCCACTAATTCCCTTGATGGTCCATTTAGGACTTTCTGCCTCCACTATTGCTCTCGGTACTGGAATAGCAGGCATTTCAACCTCTGTCACGACCTTCTGTAGCCTGTCTAATGACTTCTCTGCTAGCATCACAGACATATCACAAACTTTATCAGTCCTCCAGGCCCAAGTTGACTCTTTAGCTGCAGTTGTCCTCCAAAACCGCCGAGGCCTTGACTTACTCACTGCTGAAAAAGGAGGACTGTGTATATTCTTAAATGAAGAGTGTTGTTTTTACCTAGATCAATCTGGCCTGGTGTATGACAACATAAAAAAACTCAAGGATAGAGCCCCAAAACTTGCCAACCAAACAAGTAATTATGCTGAATCCCCTTGGGCACTCTCCAATTGGATGTCCTGGGTCCTCCCAATTCTTAGTCCTTTAATAACCATTTTTCTCCTTCTTTTATTTGGACCTTGTATCTTCCGTTTAGTTTCTCAGTTCATCCAAAACCGTATCCAGGCCATCGCCAATCATTCTATACTACAAATGTTTCTTCCAACAACCCCACAATATCACCCCTTACCACAAGATCTCCCTTCAGCTTAATCTTTCCCACTCTAGGTTCCCACACTGCCCCTAATCCCGCTCAAAGCAGCCTGAGAAACATCGCCCATTATCTCTCCATACCACCCCCCAAAAATTTCACCGTCCCAACACTTTACCACTATTTCATTTTATTTTTCTTATTAATATAAGAAGACAGGAATGTCAGGCCTCTGAGCCCAAGCTAAGCCATCATATCCCCTGTGACCTGCACGTACACATCCAGGTGGCCTGTTCCTGCCTTAACTGATGACATTCCACCACAAAAGAAGTGAAAATGACCTGTTCCTGCCTTAACTGATGACATTGTCTTGTGAAATTCTTCTCCTGGCTCATCCTGGCTCAAAAGCTCCCCCACTGAGTACCTTGTGACCCCCACTCCTGCCTGCCAGAGAACAGCCCCCCATTTTCCTTTGCCTACCCAAATCCTATAAAACAGCCCCACCCTATCTCCCTTCACTGACTCTTTTCGGACTCAGCCCGCCTGCACCCAGGTGATTAAAAGCTTTATTGCTCACACACAGCCTGTTTGGTGGTCTTTTCACACGGATACGCATGAAAGTTAGTTTAATAAAGCTGATCCTTCAGCACGGTGCTGTTCTGTATAGCTTCCTCCAATGATGGAAATGTGGTGGTGTCAAATATGGTAGGCTCTAGTGGATGTTATCTATTGAGTACTTGAAATCTGGCTAATGTAATGAGGAGCTGAATTTTTAATATAATTTTATTTTTGTTAATTGAAATTAAAATTCATTTTGGCTACATAGAGCTGGTAGCTACTGTATTTCACAGTAGTACAGCTCATAATATCCTACAAAAATAGCTCATGGGAATAATATGAATTATTTTCTAGCATATTCAATATTGTTTGTCATTAACTGTGTACTTGATAGATTGCTCAGTTGAACACAAAATTGTCTAATCACACTTTGTTTTACTAAAAGTATTGCCAAAATCCCAACAAAATTGTAAAGGATTCAGGGTGGGTAGAATTCATAGTACCCCTATCTAAGCCCTCTGTAAAAATCAACATGTCATAGTAGATGAGAGTGAAGTACCAAAACATTAACCAAGCAGTAGCTCCAATTGCAGCTACTGTGCTGTATGGTACATCTACATTGGAGCAGATCAGCACAACTTCTTTTGCTTCAAGGGTGACTGTGGTGACTGTAAATGTGTTCTTCTCAGTACCTGTAATAAGTATTTCACTTCCTTGGTTAGGTTTATTCCTATGCATTTTATTCTTTTTTTACATTATTGTAAATGGGATTGTTTTCTTAATTTCCTTTTTGGATTTTTGTGTCCTGTAACTTTACTGAATTCATTGTGTTCTAACAGTTCTTTTGTGGAATCTTTAGAGTTTTCTACATATGAAATCATGTCACTTGTATACAGAAATAACTTCTTTCTTTCTGGTTTGGATTCCTTTGATTTCTTTTTGTTGTCTAATTTCTTTGGCTAGGAAGTCTAGTCCTTTCAGGAGTACAAGTGATGAGAGTGGTTATTCTTATCTTGTTCCTGATCTTAGAGAAGATTCTTTATCTTAGAGAAGATTCTATTCTTGTCTTGTTCCTGATCTTAGAGAAAAAGCTTTCACATTTTCACTGTTGATTATGATGTTAGCTGTGGCATAGTCACATTTTGTCTTTATTATATTGATGTATATTTTTTCTGTACCTAGTTTATTGAGCATTTTCATTACAGAAAGGTATAAAATGTTCCCAACTTTTATCCTTCATTCTGTTTAATATTGTTAAAATGTCTATACCACGCAAAGTGATCTACAGATTGAGTGCTATCCCCATCAAAATCCCAATGGCATTTCTTTTTACAGAAATAGAAAAAAATTCTTTTTTTTTCTATTTCTGTAAAGATAATATGGAAGCATGAAGCACAAAAGACCCAGAAGAGCCAGAGAAATTTTGAGAAAGCAGAATAAAACTGTGGCATCACACATTCTGGTTTTAAAATATATTACAAAGCTACAGTAACCATAACAGTATGGTACTGACATTGAGACAAACATATAGACCAATGGAGCAGAATAGAGAGCCCAGAAATAAGCCCACACATATATAATAAACTTGTGTTCCACAAAGATGCCAAAAGCAAGCAATGGGGAAAAATGGTTTTTAAAAAGTGAATGGTATCAGAAAAACTGGATATCCACACACACACAAATAGAAATTAAATACCCTATCTTCCATGAAACACACACACACAAAGGCAAAATGGTTAAAGACTTAAATGTAAGACTTGAAACTACACAATTCCTAGAAGAAAGCATAAGAGTAAAGCTTCTTGGCATTAATTTATCGGATATGGCCCCAAAATCACAAGCAACAAAAGCAAAAATATTTATGTGATGTTGTGGAAATATATCACATAAGAAAGCTTCTGCACAGCAAAAGAAATAATAGAATGAAAAAGCAACCTTGGGAATGGGAGAAAATATTTGCAAACCATGTATTTGATAAGGGATTAGTTTCCAAAATACATAAGGAATTCCTATAACTCAACAGCAAGAAAACAAATAACCCAATTTAAAAATAGGCAAAATAGGCAAAGAACTTGAATAGGCATTTCCCCAAAAACATAAAAATAATCAACAACTATTGAAACGCTGCTCAACATTAACTATCAGGAAAATGCAAACCAAAACTGCAATGAAATATCACCTAATACTTGGTAGGTTGGCTATCATCAGAAAAAGAAAAGATACTAAGTGTGAAGATATGGAGAAATTGGAACCTGTATACTATTGTACACTGTTCTGGAAATGTAAAATGACACAGCAGTTATGGAAAACAGTATGGTGGCTCCTAAAAAATTTAAAAAATAGAACTATTTGCCGGGCGCGGTGGCTCATACCTGTAATCCCAGCACTTTGGGAGGCTGAGGCAGGCGGATCATGAGGTCAAGAGATGGAGACCATCCTGACCAACATGTTGAAACCCTGTCTCCACTAAAAAATACAAAATTTAGCTGGGCGTAGTGGTGCGTGCCTGTAGTCCCAGGTACTCGGGAGGCTGAGGCAGGAGAATCACTTGAACAGGGAGGCGGAGGTTGCAGTGGGCCGAGATAGCGCCACTGCACTCCAGACTGGTGACAAAGCTAGACTCAGTCTCCCAGAAAACAAACAAACAAACAAACAAACAAAAAACCTATCATATAATCCAGCAATTCCACTTCTTAGTATATTTCCGAAGTATAGAAATAAGAATCTAGAAGAGAAAACTTCATTCTCAGGTCAATTGCAGAATTATTCACAGTGTCTAAGACATGGAGATAACCGAAAAGTATATTGACAGATACACAGATAAAGAAAATGTGGTATATACAGGCAATGGCATATTATTCAGCCTTAAAAATAAGAAAATCATTCTGTTATTGGTTCCACGTGTAAAAAAATTGAAAGTTAATTATAAAGATTAAAAAATAGAGAGAGATATATTATGCTAATCCTAATCAAAGGAAACTAGGAATAGCTATATTAATTTCAAACAAAGCAGACTTTAAACCAAGGAAAGTGATCAGGGATAAAGATGGTCATAACATAATGTTATGGGTCAATTCTCCAAAAAGATATAAAAATTATTATCATGTATGTGCCCAACAATAGAGCATTAAAATATGTGAGGCAAAAACTGGTGGAAGTGCAAAGAGAAATAGATAAATACAACATTATAGGTGGAGACTTCAACAATCCTTTTTCAGAAATGGACACATCGAGTAGACAGATAATTACGAAGGATATAGCTGAACTCAAGAATATCTTCACAATCTGTGTACTTTAAATTTCCTTTTTTTTTTGTCTCATTACATTAGTTGGGACTTGTAGTACAATGTTGAAATGAAGGGGTATAAGGGGGAATCCTTGCCTTGTTTCTGATATTAGTGGAAAATTTTGAGTTTCTCACCATTAAGTGTGATGTTAGCAGTAGGTTTTTATACATATTCTTAATCAAGTTTGTGGAAGTTTCTCTCTGTTTCTATTTTAATGAGAGTTTGTTATTATGAATGCGTGGTGGATTTTGTCAAATGCTTTTTCTGCCTCTGTTGATATGATCATGTAATTTTTCTTCAGAGACTTGGGAACCTTCACCTAGATTTCGGAAGATGTATGGAAATGCCTAGATGTCCAGGTAAAAGTTTGCTACAGGGGCAGCGCCCTCATCGAGAACCTCTGCTAGGCCAGTGCAGAGGGGAAATGTGGGGTTGGAGTCCCCACATAGAGTCTCTACTGGGGCACCACCTGGTGGAGCTGTGTGAAGAGGTCCATCGTCCTCCAGACCCCAGAATAGTAGATCCACTGACAGCTTGCACCATGCACTGGGAAAAGCTGCAGACACTCAATACTAGCCCATGAAAGCAGCCGGGAATGGTGTTACACCCAGGGGCAGAGCTGCCCAAGACTATGGGAACCTACGTCTTGCATCAGCATGACCTGGATGTGAGACCTGGAGTCAAAGGAGATCATTTTGGAGTTTTAAAATTTGACTGCCCTGCTGGATTCTGGACCTGCATGGGTCCTGTAACCCCTTTGTTTTGGCCAATTTATCCCATTTGGATTGGTTGTATTTACCCAATACCTGTATCTCCATTGTATCTAGGAAGTATTTAGCTTGCTTTTGATTTTACAGACTCATAGGTGGAAGGGACTTGACTTGTCTCAGATGAGACCTTGGACTGTGGACTTTTGGGTTAATGCTAAAATAAGTTAAGACTTCAGGGGACTATTGGGAAGGCATGATTGGTTTTGAAATGTGAGGACATGCGATTTGGAGGGGCAAGGGGTGGAAAGACATGCTTTGGTTCTGTTTCCCCACCTAAATCTCATCTTGAATTGTACTCCCATAATTCCCACATACTTGTGGGAGGGACCCGGTAGGAGATAGTTTGAACCATGGGGGCGGTTTCTCCCATACCGTTCTTGTGGTAGTGAATGAGTCTCACAATATCTGATGGTTTTGTCAGGGGTTTCCACTTTTGCATCTTTCTCATTTTTCTCTTGCCACCACCATGTAAGAAGTGCCTTTCACCTCCTGCCATGATTCTGAGGCCTCTCCAGCCATGTGGAACTGTAAGTTCAAGTAAACCTCTTTTTCTTCCCAGTCTCAGGTATGTTTTTATCAGCAGCATGAAAATGGACTAATACAAGTGAAGAGGCAAAAGGCCAGTAGAGCTTTGTATATCCCTCCAGAGGGTGTCTACTACAGAGAAACCTCTGTAACTAGGTAGAAAGTATGACTTGTCCTGTGAAATTCAACCAGTCTCTTTCCTTACTCACATCATTGTTTTCACAAGGGGCTCATGAACAAAGTTACCATAATGGTGGAGATGGATGCTCTTTGCGATCCAGACAGTATGGGCTTCTCGTTAAGGCTGATTTATTTACTGAAAATCCTAAATAATTACCTATTGAGGAAAGAGACATCTTGCCCTCAGTTTGACACTATTTCTAAAGGAGATCACTCAGTAAGTTGGTGGGGAGGGTATATATATATATACACACACACATATGATTTCTATCCTGGGGAAGGTAGTAATTCACTCCTTGCTGGAATATACAGCTATTACAAATATGAGTGTGACTTCCCTAATTACAATGCTTGGTCTATTCAATTTACAGGATACCTGATCTATGAGCTTGATATCCCCTACAATATTGTCTCAGATCAACTGGCTCATTTCGGAGGGAGTCTACAGTGAAAATGAGGACAGAAGAAAACATGATCCATTGTCTTACCACATACTTTATTGCACAGATGCATCTAACTAAATCCTAAAATAATGTTGAAATGCCCAATTATGATGCAGTAGATGCACTGAGTAAACAACTAACATATTACAGTGTTGTGTTTCTAATAGAATGCACAGGTCCAGAAACAAACTGGTTACTTTCATAGAGCTTTATGTACTAATGCTCTCATCCCACCCCCAAACTTGGGGTCTTTCAGGTTAGTGGTCCTAGTTCCCAGGGCCATTAGAGTCCTATGAGGGTAAAGAGAAAAATCTTCCACTACACTTGAAACTGTAATTTCCTCTTGATAATTATGGGTTACTCATGACTATGGACCAACATTTTAAAATTTCTGTGTGGTGGGGAAGGGGAAATCTACTCGGATCATTACGACAAACTAGCATTGCTTTTATATGTTGATTTGTGAAACAGTATGCATGAGACCCATAGAATTTACTAGGCACTTCTGTACCCAGTAATAATGGTGACTGGGCAGTTAACACAGCCTAACAAGGGCATGGTGACTTAGGGTCCAAAGTAGTTGAAGTGCCGACTGAGGATGAAGGAAACCTAGAATAAGTGGAGAAGTGAAATTTTTGAGAAAGATTTGTGCCCTTGAGAAGAGGTGAGAATTGTAGCTTATTTCAATAACTATACTATATTAAGTCTTTGCAGAGACTGCAGCTACTTACCTCCCTGAAAGAGACTAGAATTACATGAGAAATTCTGAGTGGTGCAAAGAGTGGATTATTAATATCTCATATGCACATTAAAGTTTCTATTGGCATAACTAATTATTTTTTCCACTACTGTGGAAATCAGTTTCATGCAAATTCTCACCAGGATCACGGTTACAACCTGACCTGACCATGGTCTCACTTAAGTCTTGTTTTTCCACTCTTCTTGCTTGCTCCCCCAGAAATTAATAGTTGACATCAGAGGGGAGGATACCTTGGGAATGAGTTAAGAACTCAAGCATGTGCAACCTAGAAGTTTCAGGGACTTAATGCCCTGTGGAGTAAACCTGTGATTAATAAGGAAGAAGAGTTAATGGTTAAATACTTTCTCCTTTTTTTTTCTGGGACAGAGGATCATAGTTCCTCAAATGGCCGCAAGTCACTGAGCAAATAGACACCCCAGCAGTGGCCAACTAAATAACCTGTCTTTGTATTGGCTCTCAGTTCTTCCTATTTTGTTCTCCTGTCCCATTCATGCACTTTGAGCAATAAGTCTTGGTAAAACCCTTACATTTAACCATGTGTTTTAGGCTCTGATTTCTGGGAACCCCGGTACAGACATATATTAACAAGGATGTTAATTATATCAGTGTTCTTAACAGTGGAAAAAGTTAGAAACAAGTAGCAGTAGGGGCAAAATTGAATGAAATTCAGAGTGCCTTAATTATGAAATGTTATTCAACACCTCAAAAGACTAAGTTAAATCTTCATGAATCAGAAGACAAATAGAAATGATAGAAAAACAGGTTAGTGTGGTTCAATTGTCATTTTAATACCAAATCAAAGTGTATACTTGTGCATATGTTATTGTACACAATTTTATAATGGGAAAACACAAGGAAAGTAAACCAGCAGATTATTTTTGGAGAATTTTTAAATTATATATTGACAAATTATAGTTGTATACATTTATGGGATACAGAGTGGTATTATTATTTTTAATACAATGTGGAATAATTAAATTAGTCTAATTAACATATCAATCACCTCAGATACTTAACATTACTTGTGATGAGAACGTTACAAATTTACTTTGATATTGAAATGTACAGTAATTATTATCTGTGATCAGCATATTGTGCTATTGATTTATAAACATCAGATGTATTCCTCCTATCTAACTAAGGCTTGATATTTTTGACTATTATTTGCCCATTTCTCTCATTCCCAGCCTCTGGTAACCACCATTTTACTCTCTGCTTCTGTAATTTCAGTTGTTTTAGATTTTACACGTAAGTGAGAACATGTGGTATTTGTCTTTCTGTGTTTGGCTTATTTCACTTAGCATAATATTTTCCAATTCCATCTATCTTGATGCAAATGACAGAATCTCTTCATTTTCAAGACTGAATAGTATTTCATTATACATATATGCCACATTTTCTTTATCCATTTACCCTTGGATAGACATTTGGTTTGATGTCATTACTTGGTTATTGTGGGTACTATGGGGGTGCTGATATCTCTTTGACATACTGATTTTAACTCTTTTGAGTAAATACCCAGAAGCAGAATTGCTGGATCATATGGTAATTCTATTTTTAGTTTTTCTGAGGAATCTCCATACTATTTACCATAATGGTTGTAGTAATTTACATTCCCATCAACAAGATACAAAGATCCCCATTTCTTCACATCCTTGCCAACACTTGTTTACTTGTCTTCTTGGTAATAGCCATTCTAACAGGTGTAAAGTGATGTCTTCTGGTGGTTTAAATTTGCATCTCCCCAATAATTAGTGACATTGAGCATTTTATTTATCTGTTAACCATTGACATGTCTTTTTTGTTAGAAAAGACAATAGGTTTTTGACATTTATTATTTCAGGAGATGAAATGGAGAATCATTAACTTTCTTTATATTCATTCTCAAATTTATTTGTTGTAAAAATAAATAAAGTAATAATTTAGAATTTGAATGTAAAACAGAAGAAATAGTTGTGCCATTCTCCCGATCATTTTTATAAGAATGAACTTATCACTGAAGTTTGCAAGACAGTCATTGGAAGAAATGTATCACATGGGAACAAAAGCATAATTAAAATTGTCTGAAGAGAAAATGAGAGGTGGGGATTTTTTAAAAAACTAATGTAGTCTATGCTTTTGAGGAATTTCTGCTATAAAGAACAGTTGACATGTAGTGCAATTAAAGTGAGAAGAAGATAAATTCAAGGAAGAGAATCATTAAACTATTAAAATAAGAATTAATTTGCATTTTCACAGGTAGATTCTTGGTGAGGTAAGAAACTGATGATATAAGAGAGAGGAGAGAATTCCTTGAGGAAATCATTGAGCATCTAGTGTAAGAAAAGTGGTGCTAACCTTCAGCAGGTGTGTGGTCAGGAGGGAAGGGAGACCGTCAAAGAACAGATGCAGATGGATTCATACAGTTAGCATTGCTTAGGTCGGTCACTTTACTAGTGAAATAGAAAATAAAGACATCATTCAAAAGTTGGGAGCGTGGAAATGGAGATGGAATTTTGAGGAAAGATGAAGAAATGTGGAATTTATAAAAGTAAGAGACAATTGACTAGGAGGAAAAGAAAGGATTGCTAAGCAGTGCTTAGCTTGAAGAATTTGGTTGTAATTTAATATCAGTCCTTAGAATCCACATAGGTTTATTTTTCCAGCATGGTCATCTATCTGCGTGGATCTAGATCAAAAAATAGTGCTATGGTTGGATGTTTATCCCCTCCAAATCTCATATTGAAATTGCATCCCCAACGTTGGTGGTGGGGCCTATTGGAAGGGGCTTGGGTCATGGGAGTGGATTCCTCATGCACACATTAATGCCCTCCCTGGAGGTGAGTGAATTCTCACTTTATTAGTTCCTGAAAGAACTGGTTGAAAATTATTCTTCATCTCCTCTTCCTCCTTCTTCTCCTTTTCCTCCACCTCAGCCTCCTCCTTCTCCTCCCCTTCCTCCTCCAACTTCTTCATCTCCTTTTTCTCCTGTAGTTTTTCTTCCTTCTCTCTTTCTTCTCCTCCTCCTCTCCTTCACTAAATAACTGAAATAAAATTTAGACCAGATTCTATTAAAAAAAAAAAAAAGCCTGTGATAACTCGGTTGAATAGTAGTTCAACTCTTAGTTCTCGGAGAAATCTTCCAACTGCTTTCCACAACGGCTGACCTGGGCAATATATTTATTTGTACTCAGAACTTCAGCATCATGCAATAAACCTTTGTATTAAACTTGCATATATACCCCTGATTCTAAAATAAATGTTGAAAAAAAAGAGCCTGGCACCTCCCCACCCCCATTTGCTTCCTTTCTCACTATGTGGCTTCTGCACATTCTATTCCCCTTCACCTTCTGCCATGAGGGGAAACAGCCTGAAGTCCTCACCAGATACAGATGCCCAATCTCAAACTTTCCAGTAATCAGAATTATAAGCCAAACAAACCATTTTAATTTATAAATCACCTATTCCAGGTGTTTTTTAGAACAACACAAAATGGACTACGACAGGTGCAGTTTGGTTATGCAAATAAAATAAATAATAAGCTAAAATATAAGATTTAGCACTCAATTACATAGTTGAGCCACTTTCTTTCTATTGTATTGTTATTAATAGTTTCCCTTACTTTCTACTATAATAATCTTTGTGTAGCAGAAATGATGAGAGGTGCTACTTGTTGGTGCAATGGCTTCTAAGTGTCTGTCAGGTTCCTCTGCCCAGGAATGCCTTCCATGATGCTAGGAGATATTGCATGATCTGTGCAGATTTGATTTAATGATAAATATCTTTGAGGCTAAGTCCTGCCTGGTAAGCCTAACTTCATAATGTGAGAATGCCACCGTGATTTTTCACTGCTCATTACCAATTTCCTGTAGTCAAGGAACCTTTTATCTTTAGGCTCCTGTAGCTCAGCAAGATGGGATAAAAGTTTATTTTCTCCTCACTATATGTGGTTTATATTAATTAATTAAGCATTTTCTTAACACAGTGTTTGAGAATTCCCCATGGCATTAGTAGAAACAAATTTTTTTAATATAAAATGGTATCATGTATGATGAATATTCTTTTTTATTAATTGCTTAACTCCAGGAGAAAACCATTTTTTTCATAAACAGTAGGATAAGGGTTTACTACAATTGTTAGAATTTTACATCTATCTTAAGTTGTGATGAAATACATAATGTTGCATCCAATAAATTAGATTTATTTGACGTATATGTTCACAGTAGTTTCTATTTTTGGCTGTTTCTGTAAGATAGTATATATGTAAATATATACACACACTAAATAATGTCTAACTAGAACATAACTTAAAAATAATTTATTCTGCTACTGTTCATCATTTATAATAGAGTAAATTTGAGGAAAAATTTGCCTGTTGACTTTTTTTACCTCTTGTTATAACAAATTTCAGAAAGAAAGGATTTTTGGTTTAATAAGATATAGTCCTAGAGATCTTGAAATATTGAATATGAACAAAGCAACAAAAAGTACATTTTAAATTTCTTTACTGAGAATTTCATATTAAGTATAGTCTTTCCATAATGTAACCTAGGGAACACACATCACCACAATAATTAAATACAGTCTTTTCTTAAATTCTGGTAAAATATGTACATATAAAGAAATTTACTATTTTAGTGATTTTTCTAGTGTACAATTCAGTGGCATTAAATACATTCACATTCTTGTTCGATCATAATCACCATCCATCTCCAGAACATTTTCATCTTCAAAAATCAAAACTCTACCTGTTAAACAATAACTCCCCACTCTAACTTTTCCTCAGCTCCCGGCAGCTACCATTCTATTTTCCAACTCTATGAATTTGACTGTTATAGTGATCTCATGTAAGTAGAATTATACAGTATTTTTCCTTTAGTTACTAGCTTGTTGCACTTAGCTTAATGTCTTCAAGATTCGCCCATGTTATAACTTTTGTCAGAATTTCCATTATTTTTAAGGTTGAATAATATTTCATTGTATGTATATACCAGATTTTGCTTATTAAATCTTCTGTCTTCGTGATCTTCTGAAGACAGTAACATCATTTAATTTTTGTCATTGAAATAAAAATATTTGCAAACTTAAATCTGAATTATATTGTTTGTAGTTTCTTTAGCGGAATTGTACTGAAATAAGAATAGAGAAATAAATGGCCCAAGAGTCCAGTAGATGAGAAAATCTATAAATTTACATGTCTATAACATTAACTTTATGCTTTTTCTTCAATATGAACATGAACAGTAGCCAAAGTTTGCAGCCAAAATATTAAATAACACTTTGGAACCTGAGCTGTTTTTTATCCCAGGACCTTTACACTTGATATTAAACCAGAAACACTCTTCTTCCACAGCCTTACATATTTGATTCTTATTCAGCCTTCATAACTCAGCTCCAACATCACATTTTAGGGAGGTCTATGTTGATCTACCTGTATAAAACGCTTCTCACTCTTTGCCATTCATTACCCAAATCAGATTCCAATTGGCTTTATATTATATCACGGAATTTACAATTGAATAAAATGATATGTGTGTCTACTTGGGTATTGGAATTTTTAACATTCCCAACTAAATGTGTACTCCAGGAAGGACTTTGTCTTTTATATCTGAATCTCTAGTTCCTAGAAGAGTAGCTATGATATAGTAGGTAATGAATGAAGCATTTACAGAATAAATGAAGTGAAATGAAATAATGTTTAGGCTAAAACTTCTAATAAAATCACACCATTTTTCAAATTATTGAAGTCAAATACTTTTTTTACTAATTACACAATCAAATATAAAACTTTTATACATGGACCATTTTTAACTTGTTTTATGGGCCTGTTTATTGGTCCTGATGGAAAATACACTGTCCACATTTTATTTTTCTTGGTGAATAGAATCTTGTAATTAGTTGTATCTCAGTGTCTATGATAAATGCTTACTTTCTGTCCTATCTTTTAGACCTCTTGGCCACAGAAAATATATATTTCTCTCTGATATTGGAAGAAAATATTCTGCAATTTCTTAAGCTTTTGAGATTAATTTAATTTTCTCAATCCTTAGTTCCTCAACTCAGAAACACTCAGTAGTAAATCATTTTCTATTTCTAAGAACTGTGTATGAAACAAATGAGACATTTAATAGTATGGTACCATTTTTCAAAATCTATGCAACATTATTTTTACCATTACTAGGGAATCTTATAATTTAAGAAAAATTTAGAAACTAATTTCAATTGTATTTTTCCAAGTCTGTTAAAAGAGCTACACTTACATTAAATAATTAGCTTTTTTAATATCATGGTTATAGAGAACTGCTGCTTTAAATATGTCTCACAACATATCATTTTAAGGAAAAACTGGCCATTGGTGCTTCATCTGTTTAGACAATATTAAGATCTTTTTCAATTTCTTGTTAAGAAATAGCTCAAGCTCTTCTTTTCTCAAAAGCACTCTTTCATTTGAGCAGAATGATACATTGGAAACAATCTTTCCCAACTTGAAATACTAAATACCAGAGTGATTATTGAGTGATGGAGTGTTTCCAATACTTTTTGTCTTGCAGACAGTTTTTTGTATGATTAATTTTTTAGTGCAGACAGAGTATTGCAATATTCTGAAGTGCAACCCCTTTCCCAATGAATCTCATAAATCTCATGCCCATTGTGGGCATGAATTATAATTGCAGATATTTCTGGTCCAAAGACAAGTACTTTTATAAGATTTGTTTTCCTTGTTGTGATTACATAAAAGGAGGCATTTCAGGAAGAATTGTATGGCATAGCATGACCGGCTCTGGTTAAGCGGTCTGCAAGCATTGTTTCTGATTGAAGTTGAACTTGGACATAACAATTTCTTCCAGGAGAGATTCACATTTAAAAAGGAATAATTCTGCCAATAATGGTGTTCTAACTTGTACTGATGAAAGTAAATACACTGATACATTGTTTTACAAAAATAATAAGGAAAATGTTTTCTATAAGAGAAAATCATGACTTTCTAGAAAGCCTCTGCCTGAATAGTTTTTTGACATTTTTGACTCAAATTAGGAGGACAATCTCATCTACCTTACTAGAACATTTTTTTTTTTTTGGAGAAGATAATAATTACCAGGTTGGCATTCTAATCTGGGGTCCTCAAAATTAGGTCTCTTCAGTTGGTAACACTGGATATTTAACGTGGGAACCAGTAGTTTGAGGCACCCAAAATACAGATAACTAAAGATTGAAAAAAACATTTTCAGCTTCCAGCAAAAGCTTCTGTAAATGAACATGACTTTGAAAGTATCTCAAGAAAGTGGCCTCAGAAAGATCTACTTGTAAATGGCTAATAATAACTAATAATGTTGCAAACTTACTATGTGCTCATTTCTAGGTAAAGGAGATAAGAACTACTGGCAGTGTCATTTTCAGCACAAATATGTGCCCTCTAACATTTCGAAGAATCTAAGAACGTAGGTTGCAGGTTTTATGTAAACATACGATATTCAGTAAGGTCCTAAATAAGAAGACAAGAAGCAAATAATTTACTAGATAATCTTTTCAAAATGTGACATAATTTAACTTACAAACACATTTAGTTTTTCCTCCTCTTAATTCAAGCTTTAATCGAAGATACATATTAAATACATGTATTTAATATAAGTAAACATCATTTGATAACTGCTTTGCTAAAAATGACTGCTTTGCTACTGAAATCTCTTGGAAAATATGTATTTTTAAAAGCTCCAATTTTGTTTAAGAAGATTACCATGCTAGCAATTTTCTGGGACTATTTTTTTACATTTTGAATTGAGTGAAATTTGGGATACTCATTTTTAATTCTGTACATTAACTCTTGATGGTATATTTTTGCTAATTATTTTAACCCAGATGTTTTTTATCATTCCATAATTTTATTTACTATATTGACTATACATGTTAGTAATGCTTAAATGATTTATTATTTCTTATTTTTTTCCAGGAAGCTATAGAATAATAGTCATTTGTGTTGAAAATGGGCAAAATATTCTAAGACATCTTTTATAAGGATTTAAATTTTCATTAATAATAGCATCTATGAGGAAAGTAAGCACAGCAAGCTGTTTTGGAGGTGCAGATTTTTAATTATAAAATATTATTAACTGTTTATGAATACATAGAACAGTGCTTTAACTACAGAAAAAGTAACACAAAATTGGCATAAAACTGACATAACTCAGAAATTATAATTTATTAATAGTGCATTGTTATTCACCTTAGGTACGTAGATGTTATGTAACTGCTAATTTTCTCTTTTAAAACTATTTTTACACTACTAAATAAATTAAAACTTTAAAATAATGTCACTATATTAAACACATACAATTACTGGAGTTAAATTGAATCCTTGCACTTCTTGGGTATATTCTTTTCTCAACAAATTAAATCCTTGTTTTCATATTGTGCCAACCTGAAGGAAGAGGAACGATCTATTATGTACTTTCTGATAACATTTTTAGCAATAATTATTTTTTAGAATCCCTAGCTAAAATATATCTTTTTACATAGATTTATTAATGTTTCTGCTGTGAAAGGCAATCAATACTATATAACTTTTAAAGTTTATAACATTTTAAATGTATTTATTTATTTTACATTTGCTGGTTTATTGAAAAGACATTACGAAGGATATGGATGAAGAGATGTTCAGGGTGAGGTATGAGGGAAGGGGTGCAGAGTGGAGCTTCCATGTCCTCCTTGCGCATGCCACCCTCCAGGATCTTCCACGTGTTCAACTATCTGGAAGCCCTTCAAACTCTGTCCTCTGGGTTTTTGTGGAGGTTTAATTATGTAGGCATGATTGATAAAATCATTGGTCATTGGTGATCAACTTGACCTTCGGCCCCTCTCCCCTCCCCAAAGGTTGTGGGTTGGAGCTGAAAGTCCCAACACTCTAATCTGGCTTTTGCTTTCTGGTAACCAGGCCCACACTGAACCTATCAGACAAAGGACACACAAAATTCTGACATAAGGTTTTAAAATATTGACTGGACATGGTGCCTTACACCTGTAATCTCAGCACTTTGGGAGGCAGGGTGGGCAGACTGCTTGAGTGCAGGAGTTAGAGATCTGTCTGGGCAATGTGGCAAAACCCCGTCTCTATGAAAAGTACAAAAATTAGCTGGCCGAGGTGGTGTGTGCTGTAGTCTCAGCTACTCAAGAGGCTGAGGTGGAAGGATCAATTGAGCCCAGGAGGTCAAGGCTACAATGAGCCGTGATTGTGACATTGCACTTCAGCCTGGGTGACAGAAGAAGACCTCAGTTCAAAAATAAATAAATAAATAAAATAAAAACATAGTTACGGCTTCATGCTTAGAAATCATCCCTGCTTCCAGTACTTGTCGTAGGACCGTTGCATCAGAAAGGAGAAAGAGAAAAAAAAATTATCTTTGAGGTGATCTGGGGAAAAAAGAAAACTATGTAGTCTTTAAATCAGTGTACTCTTTCCTCAGCAAAAATTGCATAGTCATTCCACCATACTCCCCATGCCGTCTTCCCCAGATAAACCAGAAAAATAGAAAAATCTAGTGGAGACACTCCTTTAGTCCTACTCATGTTGAATGAACACACACTTGCAAAGGCGTGTAAGCTAGCCTTTCATGCCTTTGTCTCCCTTTCCCTCTGTTTCAAACAACAATGTTTTAATTGCCAGTTCCACTTTTCTATAAAACTATTACTGGGAGAAGGATATCTCTCTGCCCATTGTTGTGACCATTCAGCATCTTTCTTAGTCTGAAGAAATGACACAGGCAATCCAAATCCACGCAATATCTTCTGCTATTTTGTTTGTTTATTTTTATTTTTGTTTTATGACACGCTGGGCATTTTCATCTTCCACAAGGGAAGCAATGCCCACTCTAGAGTTAGTGTCTATTCCTGTCAAGATCTATTTGTAGCCCCCAGGGCTACAAGCATCAATCTCACTTTCCAGCTGTGTTCAGGGCTTTCCCACCAAGGAATCTCCCATATAGCCATCGGCAGTCTCTGTCCCTTTTCTGAGAAATAGAAGTCTCATTAGCATTATGTGCCTGAGATGGTACAAAAGGAACATGTTTAGGTTCAGTCCATCTCCACACTGCTTCAGCTTCCCTGAATCCACTGATTTTATGGGCCCAGGAGGCCACATCAAGGGAGCATATGGGGTCAATTCCAGTCACCTTCTGAATCTGGAAGGGATTCAGAATGGGCATTGGGATTCTGGAATGGGCATTGACTTATTCTACTTTAATGCACCCCTCAATTTTCCATAGGACCATGCTCCTTACAGGCATCTCTTTAATCATCCAGGTTTCCATTGTCCTCTCACCTGAATGCATAGCCAGGCCATTAGTAACTACATATAAGTCAGTAAAAACCCAAACACAGGGGCTTCTACAATTGTTCAATTCTTCCATTACTCTTAGGAAAACAGCAGGCAATTCAGCCCACTGGGCAGATCTGTTTTTACCTTGTTTGATCAAAACAGCAGCCTTCCAAACATTTACCTTGGAATTGCCATCCATGAACCAAGTAGCTTTCTGTCACTCAGTTGAGAGCTGTTTATCAAGCTCTGTTGAATCCAGCAGTTTCTTACACAGTTCCACAGTCCATTGTAGTAGAAAAGATACTCCTTGCTTGGGGTATCTCCTCATTGCATTCCCCAGGTAGCACGATTCTTTATAAATGATTTCCATTTTATTATAGACTACTTCTGGGAACTGCCATTCCCATCAAAATGTTTCTCTGACATCACCCAAGACACTATGAGTAGTTCAAGTGTCATAAGGATAGCTTCAGCTAACACTTCACAGTAAAACAGTAAATGCCCCTCATGTTGAAACTGTCTAGTGCAAAGTATCAGTAGTTGTTTTTTGGAGGTGCTCATAGGCCTTTGCCATAATTTTAAAAATGCTTCATAAAGGACTGTTAAATGGAGAATTTGTCCCTATCAGTAACCTAGTTAGTTTCTACTCTGCACTGTGCAGACTTGGGCAACCTTACTGGTTACCATTTAGCGTGTCCAGTTAATATTGCTTGAAGGGCAAATTGACATGCCTTCTATTTTATGGCACTAGGTAGAGAAAACATTTCCCAGTTAGATACAGTGTTCATACCCATGATACAATCAAGTAAAAGAGATGCAACCACTTCATATGAAGTGTGTTCAAATATGCCAACTTTCATAATCCTATCAGCTCTTGCATTTTTATGCTCTAGTTCCAAGAATGTCTCTTCTTCACCCCTAGACCATTTTATACTTCCTTGTGCAAAAGGCTTTTGGTCCCCAGCCAGAGGTTGGACCAAAGGACTCTGACTCTTTTGTAAATCCTTATCTTGATTAATTTGTTGGACTATTACCCCGGGCAATTTCGGATCAGATTTCTCATTATAATCTATGCCTTCTAGCTTTTAAAAATTTCTCCAAAGTGAGGGAAATACAGCAACCTGGTTTGGGGTCCTTTAATGTTGGGGGACTAGGAGGGGCTCCTTTGAGTTCACCAAATCTTTGATAATGTTTTAGTAAGAGCTTTGTTTTAATGCCATCAATTTACATTTTATTCATCGATTTTCTTAATAACCATCTAAAGATTTCCATCTTGCTGGGATTAGTCCAATGAGTCTTCCCTTTCTTTTTCTTCTTGGTTTCACCCCTATCAATGTTTCCTTTATTTGCCTCATTTCTTTAATGACCTCTTAAAAATTTCCACTTTCCTGGGATGAGTCCTTTGACTCTTCCTTATGCCTTTTCCCTTCTCTTGTTAATTAACCTAATGTTTTAATTAACATCTGCAAGACCCTTTGGGAAAGCTGAGAATGCAGCAAATTTGATGAGGCTTCTCAAACTATTGTTCCATTCTGCAGGAGTAAGGTCACATGGGGTGCCCAGGTAGAAGGGGTACACTTAACCACAGCATTTACCATAACCTAGGTAACAGGCATGTTCAGTGAGTGGATATCCCTGTCATCATAATGCCAGTCCTACATGGCTTGTATATGAAGCATTTTAGCTGTTCATCTGGGGTGCTCCACCAGGCAATTATAGGGGGAGTTGGGCAGTCACCTTTCTCATGGTAAACAGACCTTAAAGTAGCTTTCATTCAGTCCTCAAGGCTGGCTGTTCCCTCAGGAATAACCCCATCTGTGTCTGGATCATAGATAGCCATCTGCACTTGTTCAATAGTGAGCTGTGGGTCCTGCATCAACCTAAACATGCTTTTCCACTCTGCAGCATTTAAAACCAAAGACACTGCCCCAAATTAATTATTTTTATAATCCATTTTAGAAAACGTGTTCAGGAAGTTGATTATGCCCATCTACAAATTGAAGCAATTCCTTCCTACTATACCCTCTGGTTTTAATCGATTCTGAAGCCACGGCCTGAGCTATACCTTGACATCTTCCAGCCACAGCTGGAGCTGGAGCAACTGGGTGCTGGGTGCTGTGTCCCAAGATTGCACAGAGCAGCTGGGCTCTGGGCCTGGCCCATGAATCCATTTTTCCCTCCTAGGCATCCAGGCCTGTGATGGGAAGAGCTGCCAAGTAGGTCTCTGAAATGCCCTGGAGCCATTGTTCACACTGTCTTTGCTATTAATATTCAGCTTCTCTTTATGCACATTTCTGCAGGATGCTTGAATTCATACCCAGAAGATGGGTTTTTCTTTTCTACCACATAATCAGTCTTCAAATTTTCGAAACTTTTATGCTCTGCTTCCTTTTTAAACATAAGGTCCAATTTCAGACCGTCTCTTTATGAACATATATGACTATATTCTGTTAGGAGCAACCAGG